>NC_000017.11:2915353-3066868 GCF_000001405.40 Homo sapiens
CCGAGTAGCTGGGACTACAGGCTGGTGCCACCACGCCTGACTAATTTTTGAATTTTTTGTAGGGAGAGACAGGGTTTCACCCTGTTGCCCAGGCTGGTCTTGAACTCCTGAGCTCAAGCGATCCGCCCACCTTGGCTTTCCAAAGTGCTGGTATTACAGGCGTGAGCCAACGCGCCTGGCCCATTTCTTTTCTTAACGGTGTCTTTAATGAGCAGAAGTTTTAATTTTGAAGAAGTCTAATTATGGACTCTTTCCTTTTATGTCTGTAGCTTTGTGTGTCCTAAGAAGTCTTTGCTTACCCCAGCTCACAAAGATTTCCTTCCATGTATTCTTTTAGAAGCTTTATTTTTATTTATTTTTTTTGAGACAGAGTCTCGCTCTGTCACCAGGCTGGAGTGCAGTGGCGTGATCTCGGCTCACTGCAACCTCTGCTTCCTGAGTTCAAGCGATTCTCCTGCCTCAGCTTTTCGAATAGCTGGAACTACAGGTGCCTGCCACCACACCTGGCTGATTTTTTTGTATTTTTACTAGAAACGGGGTTTCACCACGTTGGCCAGGATGGTCTCAGTCTCCTGATCTCGTGATCCGCCCGCCTCAGCCTCTCCCAAAGTGCTGGGATTACAGGCATGAGCCACTGCGCCCGGCTAGAAGCTTTATTGTTTTAGCTCTAGGTCTAGGATAAACTTGTTTTAATTTAATTATGTATGGCAGTATGTTGGGGTCTAGGTTCATTTATTGCCATATGGATACTCTGTTGTTCCAGTACTGTATGTTGAGAAGACTTTCCTTTCCTTGCTGAACTGCTTTGGTGCCTTAGTCAAAACTCTGCCAGGCATGTAAGTGTACACGTGTGTTTGTTTATTGTCTCTCCAACCATGGTGTTTCTCTGCATCAGGGATGGAAAATACGTGCCATCCGTGCCGTCAGTCCACCGTTTGGCTCCCGTGGCAGATACTGGTAATTGATCATGGCACTCTTTCCCAAGAGCTTAGACGTGGTCTCAGAATCCTGTTCAACAAAGCACCGTAGGCAGCCACTGGCAGTCATTTGGAGTTGTCATTTGAGATAAATCACTTCTGGCATCTCTGATTGAAATTGTCACAAGAGGTTATTTGCTGAAGGTCCCACAGCTGGTGAGTGGCAGAGCCAGGATGTGGGCTCAGGTTTGTCTGTGTGGGTCTGAAGCCTGTGCTGTCTTCCCCACCTCTACAGACTGCTCTGCGTGAATCATTTCAACAGGTCGCTTCATCTCCGTGACCTCCAGTCTCTTCACTTGCATAATAGGGACGGTGGCCACCGGGAGGAGTGGGTGTGGGCAGTAATGAGGTCATCCACAGAATCGCTAGTGGAGCATCTGATACGCAGGTGCTCCGTGATGGACTGTGACGATGGCGATGGTGGCGATGACAACCATGATGAGTGAGATGCAGATGCCCTTGAGAAACACACAGTCAGGGCTTCTCTCTAGGGAACCCAGAGTAGCTGGCTCATCAGAGTCCCTTGCCTCTTCTTATGTATCTTCGGGCCCGTGGCCTTCCAAGCTGGAGGCCCCAGAGCGGAGCCACGCTTCCTCAAGTTTGCTAATAGGGTGCGAGCCACGGGCTTCGGCCTAGGCGTCTAGGCCAGCTGAGCTGTGCTCCTTCTCTCTTTGTGGGAGGAACAGCTGGCTGGGTTCGTAGAATTCTCTTTCTGGGAACCTTCTTGCCCTCTCTGTTGATTCTCCAGCCCATCTTTCTTTCCTTTGGATTGGCCACATGATCCTGCCTGCCACAGGGGCGATTAATCCAGCTCCTTCGACCTGGTCCTGGACCCCTCTGAGGTTCTTCTTAAGAAGTTGAAGCAATAGAGGGTTGTAGCTAAGAATACAGTTTCTGGAGCCAGTCTGCCTGGGGTTAAGGCTTCCCCACTTCTTCTTCTTTTTTTTTTTCTTTTTTGAGACAGAGTTGCGCTCTTGTTGCCCAGGCTGGAGGGCAATGGCGCGATCTCGGCTCACTGCAACCTCTGCCTCCCGGGTTCAAGCAATTCTCCTGCCTCAGCCTCCCGAGTAGCTGGGATTACAGGCATGCGCCACCACGCCCAGCTAATTTTATATTTTTAGTAGAGTTGGGGTTTCTCCATGTTGGTCAGGCTGGTCTCGAACTCCTGACCTCAGGTGATCCACCCGCCTTGGGCTCCCAAAGTGCTGGGATTATAAGTGTGAGCCACCGTGCCCAGCCATTTTTGGTATTTTTAGTAGAGACGGGGTTTCACCATGTTGGCCAGGCTGGTCTCAAACTCCAGATCTCAGGTGATCCTCCCACCTGGGCCTCCCAAAGTGCTGGAATTACAGGTGTGAGCCACTGTGCCTGGCCCCCCCGTTTTTAAAATTCATTTTTATTTTGAGATGGAGTCTTGCTCTGTTGCCCAGGCTGAAGTACAATGGCACGATCTTGGCTCACCGCAACCTCCGCTTCCTGGGTTCAAGTGATTCTCCTGCCTCAGCTTCCCAAGTAGCTGAGATTACAAGCACATGCCACCACACCCAGCTAATTTATGTATTTTTAGTAGAGATGGCGATTAACCATGTTGGCCAGGCTGGTGTCAAACTCCTGACCTCAGGTGATCCACCTGCCTCGGCCTCCGGAAGTGCTGGGATTACAGGCATAAGCCACTGCACCTGGCCAAAGCTTACCCTCTTCTTAGCTGTATAACCTCTGTGCATCTCAGTTTCCTCATTTGTAGAATAGGGATGTATTAGCCCTGTCTCCCATTGCTCTAAAGTAATACCTGAGATTGGATAATTTATAAAGAAAGGAGGTTTGGCCAGGCGTGGTGGCTCACACCTGTAATCCCAGCACTTTGGAAGGCTGAGGCGGGCAGATCATGAGGTCAGGAGTTCAAGACCAGCCTGGCCAATATGGTGAAACCTGTTTCTACTAAAAATACAAAAATTAGTTGGGCATGGTGGCGAGCGCCTATAATCCCAGCTATTTGGGAGGCTGAGGCAGGAGAATCACTTGAACCTGGGAGGTGGAGGTTGCAGTGAGTCGACATCGTGCCACTACACTCCAGCCTGGGCAATAGAATGAGACTCCATCTCAAAAAAAAAAAAAAAAAAAAAGAAAGGTTTAACTGGCTCACAGTTCTGTAGGCTGTACAGGCAGCAGGATGCTGACATCTGCTTGGCTGTTGGGGTGGCCTCAGGAAACTTTTATTCATGGTGGAAGGTGAAGGGAGAGGAGGCAGGTCACAGGGCCAGAGCGGGAGCAAGAGAGCAAGGGAGGGTGCCACACACTTTTAAACAACCAGAGCTCGTGAGAATTCACTCATGATCTTGAGGACGGCACCAGGGAGGGGATGGTGGTAAAGCATTCATGAGAAATCCGCCCTCTGATCCAGTCAGCTCCCTGCAGGCCCCACCTCCAGCACTGAGGGTTACAGTCCCACGTGAGATTTGAGTGGGGACACAAATCCAAACTATTTCAAGGATAATAAGAGTACCTGCCCTGGGTGGCTGTAGTGAAGATTAATTGAGATAATATGCCTTTATTGCTTAAAACAGAGGTATGCAGTAAGTGCTACATAAATATTAGTCATTATTATTCCTCCAAAAAACTTTGTTTCTGAAATGTGCGGAGAATAGCAATGCTTAGAGAGACCATCTAGGGGGAAGTACACCAGGTTTTCGGTGAATATAGTTTGTCAGGACGCCCTGATTTCTGCCCTGCCAGGTGCCCACAGCTGAGGGGCCTGTCTGTGGAATGAATAAGGATTGAAATTGCATTTTGTGTGAGTGGCCTTCCAAGAGCCTTGTGGATCAGACTCCAAACCCTGCCTGATAAATGTGGATGCCCTTGAGGGTCTTGGAAAAAGGCTAAAAACCAGGATCCAGCCCAGCATCTGAGCCAGACCTGGAGGAAGGAACATCTTTCTGGGTTGTGCTTTCACCTCTTGCCTTCTGAATCTGACCCAAACAGGGGTCTCCAGGGTGGCAGAAAGAACCTGCAGGGTCGCCATCCTCATGAAGGTTTTTGGGACTAGACTGAGTCGAGACTTGGATAATTCGGGGCTGGGAGCGTCCCAAGGCTGGCGTTGGAATGAGTTTTATGAGCAGTTTGTCCCTATCATAAGTTTCTTTCCTAACTTCTTTTGCCTGCAGCTGATATTAAAATGAGTCTGTATTTCGGGGACAGATGCTGACCTTGTGGGGAACACGGGAAGTGGGGGCAGGGCCTAAAAGCCATGGGGGGCCAGGCGGGGGAGCAGCTGCCCTTTCAGCCTGGGTGGCCCATGGTCTGGGGGGTCTGGGCTGATGGTAAAGGTGACCGGCTGCCAGGCCCTCCTTCCTTAGCCCTCTCCTTTTTCCTTTTCTCTTTTTTTTCTTTTTTGAGACGGAGTCTTGCTCTGTTGCCCAGGCTGGAGTGCAGTAGCGCGATCTCGGCTCACTGCAACCTCTGCCTCCCGGGTTCAAGCAATTCTCCTGCCTCAGCCTCCCAAGTAGCTGGGATTACAGGCACCGCCCCATACCTGGTTAATTTTTGTATTTGTAGTAGAGATGGGGTTTCGCCATGTTGGCCAGGCTGGTCTCGAACTCTTGACCTCAGGTGATCCGCCCGCCTCGGCCTCCCAAAGTGCTGGGATGACAGGCGTGAGCCGCCGCATCTGGCCTCCTTTTTTCTTTTTTTTTTTTTTTTGAGACAGGTTCTCTGTCGCCCAGACTGGAGTACAGTGGTGCGATCAGGGCTCACTGCAGCCTTGACCTTCTGGGCCCAAGCAACTGTCCTACCTCAGCCTCCCAAGTAGCTGGGACCACAGGTGTGCACCACCACGCCCTGCTAGGCTTAAAAAAAATTTTTTTTAATTCGTAGAAGCAGGGTCTCCCTGTGTTCCTAGGCTGTCCTTTCCCCTTTTCTCGTCGTGCTCTCCTCCTCTTTCTGCCTGTTGGTGAGGGCTCGGCTCTGTCTCCCCTTGATGGCATTCAGAAGACTGATAGAGCACTTGGCATTCAGGGCGTCACCCAGGGGATGCCCCCAGGGGCCCCCCAACCCCCGCCCCAGGCATGCCACCTGCCTTTGGAAGCCTGACCAGCCATCCCACCCCAGAACTTAGCCCCTGGGTCTGTGACATCCCTGCCTGTTTTCAGGCCCTGCCTCCCCCGCTGGATGGTGCTGGGTCTGGGGACAGAGCCCTTGCCTCTTCCTGGGATTTAGAAACCAACTGTGTGACATCGTGCAGTTCAGTCATCTTCTGTGGACCTCGGTTTCCTCATTTATAGAACGGAGCTCACCCTGTAGGGTTACTGCAGGGATTAAAGGAGGAAGCAGGCGGACGAGGGCTTCGTCAAGTGCCAGGCTTCTGCAGGTGTCGAATATCGGCACATAATGGACACCAGTGGTTGTTATCATGGTCAATATGCCAAACACGCATAGGGTGGTTTCATTGATAATCCCGCCCTTCTGCTCTGCCAACTGCCATAGACTCTACTCCACTGAGACCGGCTCAGCAGCGGGATGCTGCCAGATTCTGTGTTCTGCCACCCACCCCCATCCGCTACCCTCTTCCATGAGTGTCATTTACCCGACACTCAAGCCTGCTGTGTCTGGGACTTCAGAGGCCAGTGGATGGTGGGTTCTGTGTTGCTTCGTGAAGGGATGTCCCCTGCGTAGATCTGTGCCTCAGTGGGTTCCTCCTGTGTGTGCCCCTCCCGCTGGCTTCTTCTCCCGGAGCCCCCCCGGCAGACTCTGCTCTTGGCGGAGTGTGGAGCTGGAGTTTCAGGCCTTGGGGTGTAGATTTGATTCCTAGGGTTGCTGTAACAAATTACTGTGAACTTGATGGGTTGAAATAAAAGGATAAAAGGAATTTCTTATCTTTTTTTTTTCTTTTTTGAGACAGAGTCTCACTCTGTCACCCAGGCTGAAGTGCAGTGGCGTGATCTTGGCTCACTGCACCTTTCTGCCTCCTGGGTTCAAGCAATTCTCCTGCCTCAGCCTCCCAAGTAGCTTGGGATTACAGGCACCGGCCACCACACCCGGCTAACTTTTTGTATTTTTAGTAGAGACGGTGTTTTGCCATGTTGGTCAGGCTGGTCTTGAACTCCTGATCTCAGGTGATCCACCCGCCTCAGCCCCCCAAAGTCCTGGGATTACAGGCATGAGCTACCATGACCGGCCAGGAATTTATTTTCTCACAACTCTAGAGGCCAGAAGTCTGGAATTAAGGTGTCAGCAGGGCCGTTAAAGTGTCCGCAGGGCCTTTAAGGTGTCTGCAGGGTCGTTAAGGTGTCAGCAGGGTCGTTAAGGTGTCAGCAGGGCCGTTATGTGTCCTCAGGGCCGTTAAGGTGTCAGCAGGGCCGTTAAGGTGTCCGCAGGGCCGTTATGTGTCCACAGGGCCGTTAAGGTGTCAGCAGGACCGTTAAGGTGTCCTTAAGGTGTCCGCAGGGCCATGTTCCCGCCAGAGGCTCGAGGGGAAGCTCCTTGCCTGCCTCTTCCAGCGCCTGGTGGCTCCAGGCCGGGGACTGCACAGCTCTGCTCTCTTCCTCCGTCTTCTTCACATGTCTCCCTCCTCTTCTCCCTGGGGGTCTCTCCTCTGTGTGTCTCTTTTAAGGACACTTGTCATTGGATTTAGAGCCCACCTGGGTAATCGGGATGATCTCATCTCAAACTCCTTCATATCTTAAAATTATATCTGTTATCTCAGTCTGTTCCAACTGTTACAACAAAATACCTTAGACTGGGTAATTTACAAACAATAGCCATTTATTTCTCACCATTCTGGAGGCTGGGAAATCCCAGATCAAGGCTCCAAGAGACCCACTGTCTGATGAAGGCCCACGTTCTGCGTCTAAGATGACACCTTCTTGCAGTGTCCTCACAGGGAGGAAGGCGGAAGGACAGAAGGGATTCGCTAGTCCCTCAGGCCTTCTATGAGGACGTTAATCCCGTTCCCGAGGGTGGAACCTTTATTACCTGGTCACCTCCCTAGGCCTTGCCTTCTAATTCCATCACCTTGGGAGGGACATGTACATTCAGACTGCAGCATGGGTAAAGACCCTTTTTCCGAATAAGGTTACACACTCAGGTTCCTGGATACAGACATATCTTTTTGGGGGCCACCATTACGGGGTCAGGGCTGCCCTCTCCTGGGAGTTCCTGGTGGGAGCTTGGTGAGGTCCCCGAGGTCTGCCAGCACCTGCTCTCCTTGTGTAGTTGTAAGTCATTCAAGTGCCACTGCAAGGGTGTGTGTGTGAGGTACAGGGTGTTGCGGGGCTGGGAGGACCCAGTGCAGCTCCAGCTCGCACAAATGGGGTAGAGCATGATCTTCCCATCCCTGCTGCCCCGGGACCTGGTACATATGGGGCCATGGCAGGTGCTTCATAAACACTTAGTAGTTGGTGCTTAATAAATACTCACAATAGGTTTTCAGTGAATCCTCATTGATTGATCCAGCCTTAAGGATGTGGCAATGAACAAAAAAGTGCCCAGTATTTTCTTTTTGTTTTTGTTTTTTTTTTTTTTTTTGAGACAGAAATTCGCTGATGTTGCCCAGGTTGGAGTGCAATGGTGCGACCTTGCACTACCTTGGCTTGTGGCACGACCTTGGCTCATGGCACGACCTTGGCTCACTGCACCCTCTGCCTCCCAGGCTCCAGCGATTCTCCTGCCTCAGCTGGAGTAGCTGGGATTACAGGCGTCCACCACCACACCTGGCTATTTTTTTTTTTTTTTTTGAGATGGAGTCTTGCTCTGTTGCCAGGCTGGAGTGCAGTGGCACAATCTCAGCTCACTGCAACCTCCACCTCCTGAGTTCAAGTGATTCTCCTGCCTCAGCCTCCCGAGCAGCTGGGACTACAGGCACCTGCCACCACACCCAGTTAATTTTTGTATTTTTAATAGAGATGGGGTTTCACCATGTCGGCCAGGCTGGTCTCAAACTCCTGACCTCGTGATCTGCCCGCCTCGGCCTCCCAAAGTGCTGGGGTTACAGGTGTGAGCCACCGCGCCCGGCCTTTTTTTTTTTTGAGACAGAGTCTCGCTCTGTTGCCCAGGCTGGAATGCAGTGGTGCAATCTTGGCTCACTGCACCCTCTGCCTCCCAGGCTCCAGAGATTCTCCTGCCTTAGCTGGAGTAGCTGGGATTACAGACGCATACCACCACGCCTGGCTAATTTTTTTTTTGTATTTTTAGTAGAGACAGGGTTTCACCATGTTGGCCAGGCTGGTCTCGAACTCCTGACCTCAGGTGATCCACCTGCCTCAGCCTCCCAAAGTGCTGGGATTACAGGCCTGAGCCAATGTGCCCGGCTGTTTTCTTAGATAATTTTTATCAGTTTTTTTTTTGTGTGTGTGCAAATAACCAGCAAATATGAAACACCCCAGACAATTTTAAATAAAATGATATATGCATATTATAAAGTTAAAGCAATTGTAAAGTACAGAGAAAATAAAAAAATGAATAATGTCCTAATCATAATCCTACCATCCAGAAATATCCGTTCTTACCATTTGCTAATCGTCCAGACATCTTGGCATCATACACATAGATAGAGGCAAACATAAATGAGATCACACTGTTTGTGCTCCTTTGTAATAAAAAGAGCTAAATTCAATTTTCCTTGCATTAACCAATGAAGAAGAAATAAACAAGTGGCTCAGAAGGAGTTGCTGAAGTTTAGAGAAATGTTTCCTCTCTGTAAGAGATATTAATTTCTCTAAGAGTTCTCTAACAGTGAGGAAAAAGATTATGATAAAAAGAACCAAACCTTTGGGGTAGAGATATTAATTTAAAAAGGTAATTTCAACTTTATACATAGAGTTTGGCTCCCTGCTTTGAATATGAGAGCCAGGTGATTTTGGAGGAGAGAGGGTGCAGTCTGGGAACTTTGAGAGTGCTCCTTTTGAGGGGACCTGCTGTTCTCAGAAGAGCAGGCTGAGTAACGGTCTGCACCTCCCGATGCCTGGAGGGAGTGTTCCGAGCCGAGGCTCAGTTACACGTGGGAATCAAGCAGAGCCCATCCCGGGAGCGAATAGGGTTTGTTAGCAAATGACATGGCTGAGCTGATTTGATTTGGCAGCAGGACTGAGAAGTTTCTGAAATGTCAGATGTTAATAGGATGGCTGGTTGTCTCTAAACGGGAAGCCAGAAGTGGGGGTGGATGGCCAGGTGACGTCATCTGCTGTAGAGGAGGAATTTGGGAGAAAGGAAATCGGAGGTGGGGAGGGGAAAAGAGGGAAGGAGGGAAGGAAGGTGGAAGATGGAGGAGAGAGGCCAGTGGCATTAGAGGTGGAGGGGGAAAGCGAATGAGATGGGGCTGGTGGAGGAGTTGGGTTTGCTTCCCCGAGGATCATACGTTGGGGTGGGCTGAGTTTGTCCTCAAATATGTTTTGTTTGGCCAACGTGATGTTAAAAAAGTCATTTCAATACTCTTTAGGGGGAATGTCCCCTCCCCAATCCTATTTCGTCTTGGAGCCTATCTCCTCCCTGGCCCCTGAAGACATCTGGGTTTGAGACCTTCGCCAGATGACCTGTGGCTCTTTCTAGAGCTCTTTCCTCCGGGGGGCTAGTGGGTGGCCCAGGCTCAGAGGAGACCAGAATTGCATCTCATCTCAGAGATGCCACGGGGATCAGGAGAATTCTGAGAATCAGGTGAGATCCCCAATGGTGCCCTGACCTCAGGCCGCTGTGGATTCCAGATGTGGTTTGGGACTGTATGTGAGTGCCCCTTGGCGGTGGTCAGTTCCGTGGTCTGGAGAGCTGGGCTGTGGGAGACAGGAGGCAGGAGCTGTTGTTCTTGTCTGCTTGGCCTCGTGCTTGGTGACTCTTGGTTGAACCGGGAAGATGTGATCTCTGTTCTTTGAAGACATAATGGCCGTGAGGAGGCAAAAACCACAGAAACCTTCCTCCAAAAGTGATGCAAGATGAGCCATTCGCACACTGCTGTAAAGAAATACTTCATCGCAGTATAAATAGAAGAAATACCGGAGACTGGGTAATTTATAAAGAAAGAGGTTTAATTGACTCACAGTTCTGTATGGCTGGGGAGGCCTCAGGAAACTTACAATCATGAAGGAGAAGCATGTGCCTTCTTCACAAGGCAGCAGGAAAGAGAAGAGCGAAGGAGGAGCTTCCAAACACGTAAACCCATCAGATCTCATGAGAACTCACTCACTGTCACGAGAACAGCGTGGGGAAAACCGCTCCCTCGCTCCACTCGTGGGGATTACAGTTCGAGATGAGATTTGGATGGGGACACAGAGCCACACCTTTGCCAGGGTAAGCTGAAAAGGCCAGGAATTCCTTGGATGATGCTCTCCCTGCCTTTTCTCTAAGAGGAGGTTGATTCTGGGGCTTGGAAGGTACTTCCAGGCCATCCTTGAAGGAGCTCAGAGTGAGTCCTTCAAACACCAGCATGGAAAAGCAGAAAGCAGGCCAGCAGCCCTGGTCAGATCTGGGGAGCAGGAAGGCAGGTCTGCAAAGCCTGGGGAGGGTCCAGTCAGCGTGGGTCCGGGCCGGGTTAGGAACCTGGTCAGGCCAGGCCCGGTGGCTCATGCCTGTAATCCCAGCACTTTGGGAGGCTGAGGCAGGTGGATCACCTGAGGTCAGGAGTTTGAGACCAGCCTGGCCAACATGGCGAAAGCCCTGTCTCTACTAAAAATACAAAAATTAGCTGGGCGTGGTGGTGGGTGTCTGTAATCCCAGCTACTCAGGAGAGTGAGGCAGGAGAATAGCTTGAACCCAGGAGGCAGAGGTTGCAGTGAGCCGAGATCATGCCCGGGCAACACAGCAAGCCTCTGTCTCAAAAAAAAAAAAAAAAAAAGGAACCTGGTCAGAGCAGAGCAAGGCTGAGCCCTGGGGGTAACTGAGCTTAGTGTTACTCATGGAGACAGGAGCCAGGAAGCGCAGGCCTCCCGGCCCATCGGTGCAGCCTGACTTGGCGTGGACAGCCCCACCTCCACGGGCAGCGCCCACGTCCTCTTCACACGGCATGATCTCTACAACCCATCTGGCAGCTTTCTCCTTGCTGTGTGAGTCTTGGGCCTGGTAGAAGTCAGGAGTGTACACTTGGTTTTTTGAGGAGCAGCTCAGAGCTTCAAGGCAGTTACAACAATAAAGCTCACTGCACACTGTGAATATGTGCCCCAGAGCATCGCAGTTTTGAGGATGGGAGTGAGACTAGCAGTTCAGAGGCACGGTGCCAGAGTGTCACAGTTCCTCCCTCCCCCAAAGCCAGCTTGTACTTGAACCTGTCGGGAGGTTTCTATTAGTTTCTTATGGCCGCTGTCACAAATACCCACACACTTAGTGGCTTAAGACAACACAAATCTATCATCTTACAGTTCTGAGGTTAGAAGTATGGAATGGGTCTCACTGAGATCAAATCAAGATATTGCCAGGGGCTGGGCGCGATGGCTCACATCTGTAATCCTAGCACTTTGAGAGGCCGAGGCGGGCGGATCACCTGAGGTCAAGAGTTCGAGACCAGCCTGGCCAACATGGTGAAACCCTGTCTCTACTAAAAATACAAAAAATACTACAGGTGTGGTGGTGCATGCCTGTAGTCCCAGCTACTTGGGAGGTTGAGGCAGGATAATTGCTTGAACCCGGGAGGCGGAGGTTGCAGTGAGCTGAGATTGTGCCACTGCACTCCAGCCTGGGGAACAGAGCAAGACTCCATCTCAAAAAAAAAAAAAAAAAAAAAAGATATTGCCAGGGCCGCATTCCCTCTGTAGGCTCTAGGGGACAATCTATCCTCTTGTCTTGTCAGCTCCTAGAAGGCCACCTGTATTCTGGCCCCATACCTCTGTTTTCAAGGCCAGCCACGCTGGAGCAAGTCTTTTTTTTTTTAGACAGAATCTCGCTCTGTCACCCAGGCTGGAGTGCAGTGGCGCGATCTCGGCTCACTGCAAGCTCCGCCTCCCGGGTTCAGGCCGTTCTCCTGCCTCAGCCTCCCGAGTAGCTGGGACTACAGGCACCCGCCACCGCGCCCGGCTAATTTTTTGTATTTTTAGTAGAGACGGGGTTTCACCGTGTTAGCCAGGATGGTCTCGATCTCCTGACCTCGTGATCCGCCCGCCTTGGCCTCCCAAAGTGCTGGGATTACAGGCGTGAGCCACCGCGCCCGGCTGAGCAAGTCTTTCTCACACCGCCGTCTCTCGGATTCCCTCTCTTCTGCCTCCTTCTCATTACAGAGACTCTTTTGATCACACTGGGTGGACCTGGGTCATCCAGGCCCCTCTTCCCATCTCAGGGGCAGCCTTAATTCTAGCCACAACCTGAACTCCCCCTTGCCGTGTAACCTCACACATTCCCAGGTTTTGGGGATTGGGACAAGGGCACCTCTGGGTGTGAGTGTTGGGGGGCAGTATTTGGCCTATCACAAGGACCCACCTTCATGGGCTTTGCTCAGCCCTGGGTCCTCATCGGTAAAATGGGCATCTCTACCTGCTTCCTAGAGGAAACGCTAGCCGGCCCACCGCATAGCGGGCCTTCCCTCTGTGGGATTCCGTAGTTCTGGGACTAATTCTTCACCTGCCTGATCTCATTGCTTTGCGAGCCCGTGACTGATGATACAGTATCAGATGTCCTTGCCCTGATCCCACGACCATGAGACTTGAAGGGCAGGGATGGAATATGTGCCTAAGCATTTCCACAGAGAGAAGAGGGACATAGCACACACGCTGCAGCCTAGAGGAGCTATGACCTTGGTTTTGTTACCGTCAGTCAGCTGCTTGCTGATCCCCCAGCAACTGATGGAACTGATGGAAAAGCCACCACTCCTTGAGAGAGGAAGAAAAAAGACTTATGTTAAGCTTTGCCCAGCTCTGATTTGGACTTGCCCAATTTTACTTGAAGGAAGGTGCCACTGTCCGCTTCCCATTCACACATCGCCGCCTTCCTCCTGTCTAACCGGAATCTTTCTTGTTGCAATTTCAGCCTGCTGGCTCTCCATGCGGCCGGTGGGGAAACAGCAAAGCTGGTTCCCACATTGATAATGACACCTAATCCTGCAATCTGCTTCTGTCCGGTTCTAATCACGCCACTGCTTCCATTCCCAGGAGGACCAGGGGCACCCTCTGTTTCGTCCTGACAAAGTGGACTGCCCATGGTTGACAGCCTGCGTGTCCGGGGTCGCCTGGGGGTGAGGGTGGGAAGGTGTGGGAGGGACGGAGGCACTGCCTTCTGCTCAGATGAGCAGCACGTAGATAACCCTCCCCAGGTGACCTGCCTGGCATGGAAAGTCCTTCTCGTGGTCCCCCAGGTCAGATAGCGTTGCCTGGCTACGGGGCAGTCAGCGAGGCTCCGGCAGGGCGAGTAAACAGGCACACATGTTTAAAATTCAATATCACTGGCGGGCAAACACTCCAGCAGCGCCTTCCAGCCCACCGATAATCTCTAATTCTCCTCGCTTGATGCGTGTGGGGGCCCTGCACCAAGACCCAGATGGTCTCTTCTGGGAATTGGTCGTCAGCTGTTGTGAGGGATGGGGAGTCGGAGGGGTGGGGGTGCCTGTTATAGCCTCAGCCTCATGCAGACTATCATCCTGATCGCTCTGGGCAGGCTCCTGAGAGACCCAGGGGCTGGTCTGGATTCACTGGCTGGGTGGAGCTTCCAGGGTGGGGAGCTGTCTGGGTTCAGTGGCTCACACCTGTAATCCCAGCACTTTGGGAAGCCGAGGCAGGACAATTGTTTGAAGCCAGGAGTTCAAGACCAGCCTGGGCAACATAGCAAGACCCCTCCATCTCTAAAAAACAAAAACTAGTTGGGCATGGAGGTGCACCCCTGTAGTCCCAACTACTTGGGAGGCTGAGGCGGGAGGATCCCTGGAGCCCAGGCATTTGAGGCTGCAGTGAACCATGATCGCGCCACTGTACTCCAGCCTGGGCGACAGAGTGAGACTCCATCTCAAGAAAAAAATAAAAGGCAGGGGCCTTTGGGGAAGCTCATGCAGATTTTTGTCTGCCTTAGGCTGCAAAGAGGCTGTGGAGGGGGCAGGGCCTGTGGAGGGTGTGCACCCGGCACAGGCGATGAGTGAGGGCTGGAATCTGGCAATCCCCTGGCCCCGCCAGGTGACTGTGATGGGCGGCATTTATTAAGAGGAAGGGGCGCTCCATCTGCAGGGTGGAAGAAGGTAAGCCAGCCTCCTCTTTGCTGGAGGTGCACACATGGCTGCCTGGGGCATCTCCTGGGGCAGTTGGTGAGCTGGTTCCTGGTAAAGTCATTCCTCGTAGGGATCGTTTGGCATCAACACGGGGAGCAGGTGAGGTTGACTGTTTTCCCTGCATGTGCCTCATGCTTGCCCTCTTCCGTTGCTTAGGCTTCCTTCCCTTCACTGCCTTTCATGTGTCAAGGCCAGGTTATGCCCCTGGTAGCGAAGACCCCGGGACTGCCCTGCCCGCTCCACGAAGGCAGTGGGCTCTTTTCCTGGGTACACTGTTTTCCAGAGGCAGCCCTGATCCAGGCTGCCTGATAGTTCCAGGAGATGACGGTCCTGAGGGTGCGTGCCCAGCCTGAGGCTTGTAGGTTCAGCCCAGATCACCAGTGCACCCCGAGATCACCAGTGCACCCACTTCTCCAGTAGACATGGCCTGTCCTTCAGGCCTCGGCGGGGGGCAGGGCCACGATGAGCAGACTCGTCACTCCCGGAGCCACCTGCTCACCCTTCCCTCTGAGTAGCAGTGTGGCCAAAGGACCTCTTAGTTTAGTGCCTTGGGGCCATGGTGTGTCACCTGCCCTGTGTGGCTCTGAAAGGCTCCTGGAAGGGTGTCTGGGACTGTAAGAGGCCAGGGCTCTCTTCGAGATGGATCTGCCTTGCAGTCAACTGCCTCAGCCTCATCCATCGCTGGCTGGGAGATGACTGGGAGCGGGATTGTCCCAGCTGTGGGTCTGGACCTTCCTACAGTGGCTCACCAGGCCCCCTTGTGGCCAATACCATCAGTACCACGTGGGAGCCTGTGGCTGGGGCTGGGGGTCTGGGGAGGGGTGACAAGCCCACCAGCTGCTCACTGTGCCAGCTGGGTAGACCCAGAGGGTCAGGCGGCCAGGAACTGGGACCCTGCCCTGCGTCCACTGCCAGCCTCAGTGCTCAGGTGCCCTGGAGACCTCATTAGACCAGGCCTGAGTGGGGGCGTGGCAGCTTCCTCACTCGGAATGGAGGCTTCTGTTACTTGCCCTGCATTTCCTACTTCGCAGGCTCATCCGGAGTTTCAGTCTTGCCTGGCCTGCAGCTTCAGCCGAGGTCTGCAAGGCAGCACCAGCTCTTGGAGCCAGGTGGGAATGCCGCTTCAAACACACGCACAGAGGCATCGCTCTCTTTTGGTAGAAAAGCTGTCGGATTGTAAGACAAAGGCTGAGGTCTCTAACGTGTCCTCCTTTACTCTGGGTGCCTCTTGTGTTACCTTTGTGCTTGAGTGGGGGGACCACAGGACAGGCAAATTAGAAACTGCACGAAACAAAACAAAATGCAAAGAAAAACAAAATCGAAACAAAGAAATACAATATAAAACAAAACAAAAGAGCTGGGCGTGGTGGCTCACGCCTGTAATCCCAGCACTTTGGGAGGCCGAGGCGGGCAGATCACTTGAGGTCAGGAGTTTGAGACCAGCCTGGCCAACATGGTGAAACTTCATCCCTACTAAACATACAAAAAAACTAGCCAGGCGTGGCATGCCCTGTAATCTCAGCTGCTTGGGAGGCTGAGGCAGGAGAATCGCTTGAACCTGGGAGGCAGGGGCTGCAGTGAGCCGAGATCGTGCCCTTGCACTCTGGCCTGGGTGACAGAGCGAGACTCCATCTCAAAAAAAAAAAAAAAAAAAAAAAGAAGAAGAGAAACCACAACAGATGATAACTGTTTATGGCAGGAGGGTGTGTGCAGCTGGGTCATGGTCCCCACCTTTTGGGCTGATAAACCTGGCTGAGGGCTAGGCGTGTATGTTTGCCATGAGTGAGTGTTTCTTGTGTGTGTGTGTGTGTGTGTGTGTGTGTGTGTTGGGTGAACGTGACTGTGAATGTTGTGGTTAGTTCTTTGTTGTATCAAGTGTTTTGGATGTCTGTTTGGGGGTGGATATTGTGGGACGCCACGTTGGTGTGAATGTATCTGCAGCTGAGTGATTCCCCCAGCCAGGACAGCGGGGCCGGGAAGGACAGCCCATTGTCCCTACCCTAACCTCGTTAGGGCCTCGTTTGCCCCAGCACCCCCTTCTTCAGCCCCAGCTGGCAAAAGGGGGTGGGGCAATCGTGTTATTTAACATACAGCTTATAGGGAAGAGAGCTGTTGAGCATTAAAGCCCCCATGCGGTTGTTCATGTATAATTAGGCTGTGGGAGCTTGGGGACTGACTGACTGTTAGAATCACTCGGGACCGAAGCACTTATTTAAGTAATCATTAACTGGAAGATGGGAAAGGAACAGAACATGCAATTTGCAGATGTCCCCTCTTCTTGCAGGTCAGCCTGAAATGAAACTCCCAGCAAGTGAGGAGGCTGGCGCCTTGCTCAGCCTTCCTCTTCCCTCTGGTGAGGGGAAGGGCAGGTTAGGGGATGCTGGGGCTGAGTTGGGGTTATGGAGATGGCATCTCTCAGGCACATCAGAAGCACAAGCCCCCCAAAATTTCCAGCTTCTCATGACTCCTTCGCTGACACCGCCCTTTACCCAGCAGCACAAAGATATATAATGATATATTCAGTTCTCAGTCCGGCGCATTTGATCAACACCTGCTCTGCACTAGGCCAGGGACGGCTCCAGCAAAGTCCCAGTAATCCGTTGTCCCAGGTGGAGGAGGATGTTAACAGGAAGAGCCCAGATAATTGAAATTCTGGTTTAGCTCATCTGTAAATCTGCTTTTGCTGCTTCCCAGCAGTGCTGATGTGGTCATGGGGGATGGGACGCTGTGTTTTCCTCCTTCGCGCTGAAGCAGAGGGTGCCTGGCTGGGGGTCTCTAGGCAGGAGCGTGTGGGAGCGGCCAAGTTCTGGAGCAGTTAAGGCTGTTAGTGGTGACGGGGCACCTCATGGTCTCTCTGGGGGACAACTGCAGCCCCAGTGGAGGAGGAGGGAGACTGGCCAACTGCATATCCCATAACAAGTGTGGGACCCGGAGCTCAGGGAGAGGAGAGGGAGGAAGGGTGTTCGGTATGTGGTGTGTGTCTTGGCATATGATGCCTCTTGCTTTGGAAATTCTGTGAGGTTCCATCCTTTTTATTTATTATTTATTATATCGCGCCACTGCACTCCAGCCTGGGTGACAGAGTGAGACTCCATCTCAAAAAAAAAAAAAAAAAAAAGAGGAGCTCGAGACCAGCCTGACCAACATGGTGAAACCCCGTCTCTACTAAAAATACAAAAATTAGCCAGGAGTGGTGGCGGGCGCCTGTAATCCCAGCTACTCAGGAGGCTGAGGCACGAGAATCACTTGAACCCGGGGGAGGCAGAGGTTGCAGTGAGCCAAGATTGCACCACTGCACTCCAGCCTGGCAGCAGAGCAAGACTCCATCTCAAAAAAAGAAAAAAAAAAAAAAAAAAAGAGCAGGGACCACGGGCAGGGTATGGGTTCCATGTCTGGTCTGTGATGTGTTCCCTCTGGATGGGCAAACCCAGAAGCTTCTTCAGCCCCTTTCCTCCTCCAGGCACAGGTCGAGGCTGGGATTGCGGGAGGAGGGGAATGGCACTGGGATCTGGAGTGCCTGGTTCTCAACACTTGCTTGGCAGAGGGGAGGAGGCCCAGTGTCCCCGCGTACAGGGCAGCATGGCTGCGGTTTCCCTCCTCCATGAGCCAGCCAGCCAGACAGTGGGCAGGAGAGGGCGGGAAGAGAGAAGGGCGAGTGGAAGGAAATGGAGTCGTGTGGGCGGGTGAGCAAGTTGGAAAGCGCCTGGTGTAGAGAGGAACATTGTTGGGGAGCAGAGACCACTGTGGAGTGAGGGAGGGGGCCAGCTGTGCCTCTTGACACAGCCAGACACCTGCCCGCCAGGGCCAGTAAAGTGCCTGGTGTAGAGAAGAACCTTGCCTGGGGGGCAGAGACCACCGTGGAGTGAGGGAGGGGGCCAGCCGTGCCTCTGACACAGCCAGACACCTGCCTTCCAGGGCCAGTTAGGAGAGGGTACAAGCTGCGGAGCCCATGGGGCTTTGCATTTTCCAGGGACAAGGAAGCTTGGAGCGAAGCAGAGATTTTCCGGGAGGCCAACACCTCCCTTTTCTCCCACTCTGTCAGCCTGGGGGGCTCTTTATTCCCATTCTTTAGAGAGAGACACGGTGGAGAAGATGGGACCACAGCTGTGGCTGCTGGGTAGACCGAGGCCAAACCAGCCCCCTGCTCACTTTCCTGCCTCTAAGCCTTTGCCTGGGCTGTTCCCTCTCCTAGAATGCCTAACCCTCTAGTTGACCCTGTTACGGACCTGGCAAGGTTAGTCTTGAATAACCTGATGAGATTTCCAGAGCTGCTTTTTTCCAGTTCCCCCACTAAGAGGCTTAGACCTGAAGCTGAGCCCCACTTTGGGGGAAGACTGGAAGTTTCAGGTTGAAGACCGGATCAGGACCAGGAGCTCGGCCAGCTGACGCTGCAAAGCCTGCCTTGGAGAGTCTGTGGCGTAGGAACCTTACGCCTTAACCAGCGTGGGCAGCTCGGAAGCAGGAGCCCCAGTTGTTTCTTGGAAAAATGGGGCCGATTGCCCCAAGGCAGCCACGCCCTTACAGAGCCTCTTGCAAATACCCACAGGGTCACCCGTCTTTGGTCACAGCCACGGATGGCGTCCGTCATCCATGCCTCATCTTTATCCTGTTTGTACTTTAGGTTGGTTCAGTACTTGACTGTTTACAAAGCACTTTTTTTTTTGAGACAGAGTCTTGTTCCGTTGCCCAGGCTGGAGTGCAATGGCACGATCTCGGCTCACTGCAACCTCTGCCTCCTGGGTTCAAGTGATTGTCCTGACTCAGCCTCCTGAGTAGCTGGGACTATAGGCATGGGCCACCATGCTAGGCTAATTTTTGTATTTTTGGTAGAGAGGGGGTTTCACCATGTTGACCAGGCTGGTCTTGAACTCCTGACCTCAGGTGATCTGCCTACCTTGGCCTCCCAAAGTGCTGGGATTACAGGCGTGAGCCACCGCACCCGGCCTTGCAAAGCACTTTCTTGAACTCTTCTGGTTCTTGCAGAAAAGAAGAATGATTTCCCCATTGCGCAGAGAAGAAAATGAAATACTCCTTTTAGCCAGCTGGTAAGACACAAACCTGAGTCTTGAGATTTCAAATCCACTGTTCTTTCTGTTACCCCAAGAAATAATTACTGAGTACAAATAATTACTGAGTGTCTACTACTGTATTTCATTGCTTCGAAGACACTTTCTTCCCTCTCATTTAACAACTCTGAAATCAGGGTGCATCTCATGAGCAATAGCACACCGTAATTTGTAATTGGAAGCATTTTTGCTTTCTTAGCGGAGAACAAAATAATGTGTACCTTCCAGTGGATGTCCTTTTAGTTTGACGAAATCTGGTGCGTGCACAACTGTGGTGTGTGTAAATATGGCCTCTGCCTGCAAGGTGTGCAGTTTAGAGGAAAGATCAGTCTTAGCTATTCGTGTGAAACAGAATATGACGCCTACCAAAACCAACTCGAGTGCCGTGGGAATTCCAGCTGAGGGGCTTCAGAAAAGCTTTAGGGAAGACGGGTGGGATTTGGCCTCTCAGCATCCTGTACCATCTGCATCAACCAGCTGATTTAGACAATACACCCAAGCCCTGTTAGAGTGAAGGCTCAAAACTTGGCCCCTGGAGGCTGACTATGGGTTTGCATTGCCTGTCGTTCTAGATGTTTAACTCTCAGCCTCAGTTTTCTCAGTGACAGAGTGGATGTGATGATAGTGCTTGCCTCACAGGTAGGCGTGAGGATCAGATAAAAGAACATATTCAGGCCAGGCGCAGTGGCTCACACCTGTAATCCCAGCACTCTGGGAGGCCGCAGCAGGTGGATCACCTGAGATCAGGAGCTCAAGACCAGACTGACCAACATGGTGAAACCCCATCTCTACTAAATACAAAAAATAAGCTGGGTGTGGTGGCGGGTGCCTGTAATCGCAGCTACTTGGGAGGCTGAGGCAGGATAATTGCTTGAACCTGGTAGGCGGAGGTTGCAGTGAGCTGAGATTGTGCCATTGCACTCCAGCCTGGGCAATAAGAGTGAAACTCTGTCACACACACACACACACAAAAGAGAACGTCCCACATCTTTAGTCAAGGGTCTGACAGATAGAGTGAGAGATCAATAAATGTCACCCCCCCGCCCCCATCCTGAAATTAATTCTATAAATCCAGTACACGTAGAGCCGGCAGACATTTGTCGTTCGATCACTGTTGCAATGTCAAGCACGTTCACATTTGTGGCCTCATTTGATCTTCGGAAGTGCCGGAGGATGGGGATCATTACTCCAGTGTCACAAAGGAGGCAAGTGAGGCGCGAGGCCTCACAGCTGGCCGGTGACCGGGCTGGGATTCGGAGGCTGGTCTGTCTGACGCTCAGTCCCATGCTCTCTTCACCGGATTGCAGCTGCTGGAGAAAAACCACAAGCAAGGAAGGAAACGCGGCCGATCTGGCGGGTTTGCTCCAGCCGGGGTATTTTATAAATGAATGATCACTGCTGGGCATCCTTAATAGTGGGGTTTCTGGTTTCGAGAGAAGAGAGGTCTCATTTAGAGGCTCAGGAGGCTAATTTGACGGTGGGGAGATGTGCGCAGACCGCCATCTCCTCTCCCTGTCTCCACCTCCAGTGGCCGGTGGCCAGTTTTGCCTCTTTTTTTTTTTTTATTATTATACTTTAAGTTTTAGGGTACATGTGCACAACGTGCAGGTTTGTTACATATGTATACACGTGCCATGTTGGTGTGCTGCACCCATTAACTCGTCATTTAGCATTAGGTATGTCTCCTAATGCTATCCCTCCCCCCTCCCCCCACCCAGTTTTGCCTCTTAAGTACTATTTGTCTCGCTGGCCTTCATGCCTCCTTCTTTGCTTGGTTGCCTCCCCTGGCCATGGAGAGGATGTCAGAGTGTGGTCACACTGGTCTCTGCTCATGACCCTGCCAGGGGCTGTGGGCCTTCTCCGCCAGCCAGATTCTCCTTTGTGCCCTCTGAGGTTAACACAGACAAACGCACTCACCTTCTTCCTCCCTCTTCCTCTCCTTCCTCCCTGCCTCGAACCTCTTTCACTCAGAACACCTGGCTTTGCTAGTAACAGGCTGTGTGACCTTCAGCAGGCCAGTTAACCTCTCTGAGCTTTAGTTACCCTCCCCCGGTGCCCCAAAATGGATGATCATGAGGGTCAAATGGGAGGTGGTAGGAATGGGTCCTGGGCTCTGATATTGAGTCTTGCTCTTCTACTGTGTACCATTAGACGCAGCCCTGACTTCCTTTTTACCTCTGTGGCTTTATCTCCAAAACAGAGGGAATAACTCTCTGGAAGTCCTCCCGGGACCCCCTTCCTTGCAGGAGAGCCATTGCCCACTCCTCTGTGCGCCCAGGCAGCTGTGGGCTTTACCCATGCTCCTTGCTCTTCGTTTTCCGGATTGTAATTATTTGCTTCTATGATTGTCATAGTCACCAGACTGAAGTCAGTTCCTTTCTTCAGTTATTCATTCAGCAAGTGTTTACTGAGCATCTGTGTGCCAGGTGCTGGGATTACAGATGAAATGGGGGAAACAGCTAATTAAACGAGAAGTTTTAAAGCTGAGAGTTAAAGTGGTTGGATAGGGCATGTGTAGGACGGGAGTACCACCTTGGGACAGGGAGGAGGGTGCAGACCAAGAGGGCTTCCTGGAGGAGGTGACCTCCAAGTTAAGACCTAAAGGCCAAGTAGGAGTCAAGCAAATAAAGTGGAGTGGGAAGGAGGAGAGGGACCGAGGGTGATCTTCCTTGGTCTCCAGCTCCAAGCCAGTGCCTGGCCTGGAGGAGATCAGTAAGTTGGTTCTCCATCTCTCTTCTTCCTTGCTCCTTCTGAATGCCTTCCTGCAAAGAGGCAGGAGCCTGGATCCTTGGTTTTCTGGACCCTGGGATGCTGTGGCCAAGGGGGTTGCAGAAGTGTTCTGGATATGGCATGTCCTTCCAGCTTGGGGCACGCCACGTTCCTGAGGCTGGGGCTGCAGGAACGGGCATGGCAGCGTGTGCTGGGGGACACTGTGCTGAATGATTCACTGGCTCTGAGTAGGAGTGGAGATGAGCCAGGCCAGCAGCACGTGCAGGAGGGAGCTGGAAGGATGCTGAGGATGCACGAGCCTTATCCTGGGTCCCTTTTTCCAGGGGAAGGAGAGAAGGGCTCAGTAGGGGACAGCGAGGCTCATGAACTTGACAATATCATTTCTCCAAGATAGTCTTTTATGTCAGAATTTTGAGTTGGAAGGAACATTGCCAGGCCTCTCTGCAGCTAGGGGTCCCTCTAGCACATGGAGCTTCCAAAGGAAGTGAGGTGGTGCAGTTCACATGCTAGAGCTATGCTCCTCTCCTCCTTTATGCCCTGACCTCCAGCGTCATTTTAAGCCCCCGGGGATGGACCTGTGCCAAGGTCTTCTCTGCCTGGCCTCGATTAAGCTGTGTCTTCCCCCAGCCCCTGGAGACATTTCCTGGCCTCTGTTCTCCCTTGGAAGACTGTGGGGTTCTGGAGCTGAAGCAAGCACAGGATAGGGCTGTGCTGGAGAGAGGAGACGGGCTTTGTGCCTGGTGGCAGGCTGGGCAGGAGCAGGGAGCGAGCACGGAGCCAGGGCTGGGAGGAAGGATCGATGATCATCACAATCCCCATTGACAGAGGACATTTCGTGTCTCACCTTGCTCTGGACACAGCACGTACGTCATGTCCTATTCTACAGCCACTTTGCAGAGTGGCTTATATTTCTCCCATTTTATAGATATAGAAACTGAGGCTCAGAGGCTGAGTGACCAACCCATGCAGCTTGTCAGCAGCAGGGCCACGAGTTAGTAGCTTGTCTGCCCCACACTAGGTCTGGAGCTGTTTCTCCCACACCACACTGCCTTGTTTTGAGGGTTTAAAAAATTCATTCCTTTCCTTCCAAGCTGGGGACCTTGCTTTCCTCTCAAAGCTGGAACAGAACCGAGGGCCCTGGATGGGTATGGAGCGTGACATGTCATTAGTGTTGGAAAAAGACTGTGAGACCCAGGGGATCCCTGGGCTGAGCCGGGGCTGGCTTCTCCTTCCCCACAGCACCAAGTGCCTCTGGGCCCTGAGCTCATGGTGTGTCTCCCCCAGCCATTCGCTATCTTTAATTTTTTTTGGTAAAATAATTACAGGGCATGAGCACTGCTATCTTTATTTAAACCATGTTAATTTTTTTTAAAACAGAGTAACACACACACAAAACACCTTGGATAAAAAAAATAAATATCTGGCTGGGTGCGGTGGCTTATGCCTGTAATCCCAGCAATTTGGGAGGCCTAGGCAGGTGGATCACCTGAGGTTAGGAGTTTGAGATCAGCCTGGCCAACGTCGCAAAACCCCATCTCTACTAAAAATACGAAAATTAGCCGGGTATGGTGGCGGGTGCCTGTAACCCCAGCCACTCGGGGACTGAGGCAGGAGAATCTCTTGAACCCAGGAGGCAGAGGTTGTAGTGTGCCGAGATCATCCCATTGCATTCCAGCCTGGGCAACAAGAGTGAAACTCCGTCTCAAAAAACAAAACAAAACAAAAAAAATGCTTCAGGCTGTTCCTCAAAGAAAACGGTTCCCTATGCCTCTGCACACCCCTTTCCAGTCCTCCAAGCCACCACTTATTCTTTTTTTTTCTTTTTTGAGACAGAGTCCTGCTGTGTCGCCCAGGCTGGAGTGCAGTGGCACAGTCTTGGCTCACTGCAATGTCTGCCTCCCGGGTTCAAGTGATCCTCTGCCTCACTCCCCCGAGTAGCTGGGACTACAGGCATGCGCCACCATACCCAGCTAATTTTTGTATTTTTAGTAGAGACGGGCTTTCGCCATGTTGGCCAGGCTGGTCTCGAACTCCTGACCTCAGGTGATCCACCCGCCTCGGCCTCCCAAAGTGCTGGGATGACAGGCGGGAGCCGCCTTGCCCGGCGCACTTACTCTTTTAGCTCTTTCTTCACACCTCTTAGGTGGTGTGAGGTGCGTGGGAATGCCTCGAAAGATGCAGGCACCGGTCTCTCTTTTACTTGTTTTTATTTTTCTTGCACAGAGAGGGCTTCCCAGTTCAGAGAAGGGAAAATTGAGGCCCCCACCAAGGGGAGCCTGCTGGAGTCTCCAAACACACAAGACCCGGGGTCTCCTTCAGGCCCAACACTGTGGCTGGTTTCCTGTGTCCCAGTCGTGCCTTCCGTCCGGCCACGCGGGCCAGCAGTGTTGAGAACTCACTCAGGGCAGGGATGGAGGGGGGAGGCTTCTCACCCCTTTACCTTCCTAGGCCCCAGTGGGCGTCCATTCATCACCTGCTGGCGTGGGGCCTCTCCCTTGGAAGGGACCCCCTTGCCCTTATGACGTAAGACGTGTGGCACCTCCATCAGCCCTGGGTTCCCCAGAAAAACGCCCGCGGCAGAGGACAGGTCAAAGGTCAGCGCTAGTCAGCGTGGACTAACAGCTTCGGGCGGACACCCGAGTCCTGTAGTTCCTTGTTTGATCTGAAGGAAGTTGTCCAGCGTCAGCAGCAGCCGCCGCCGTGGTGGTAGCAGCTGCAGTGGAGCTAAAGGCAGCAGGGCCCCGACTCTCGGGACCCAGGCCCTGGCGGGAGATGGATTTCTTAAAGTACCTTTTCGTGAGTGTCCCTGGGCTGTGGAGGGATGCCCGTCCAGGCCCTGCTGCCTGGAGGGGGTGGGGAACAGAGCCTCTCCTGTTGTCACCTGGCTGGGAGCCCCGAGTGGCTGTTTGCCTGCCACGGGTCATGGAAGCCACCCTTCACTCAGGGGAAGGAGGAACCGAGACCAGGGACAGAGGGGCCTCTGGGTGGGGGATGTGGAGGGCAGGGGACAGACTCAGCACCCGGGCCTTTCCTCCCTGGCTTGGAGATTCGAGGTGGGTCCTGGCAGAGGGCTGGAGAGAACTCACTTCTGTGTTCCTCTGGGAAGGCTTCTCGGCTCCCTGCCGGGGCCCGAGGGAACCCACTGCCAGCCAAAGGCTGTGCATAGGTGGGAGTTGCCATGGCGAGAGGGGGAGGGACTCCTCAGCTGGGCTTCCGCCTGGCCTGGACGCTTGGAGCTGGCCAGGCTGCGGGTCCCGCCCTCTCTTCTTTGGGCTGTGGTTCTGGGGACTCTGTGTCCTGTCACGGAGCCTCAGAGTGTGGTTAGTGTGAGGCCCAGCGAGGAGAGTGTGAGCCGTGGTCCTCTGCTGCCAAGCCACACTGTCCCTGCAGGCTCTGCAGACGCCCCTTCCAGCTTTGGCAGACCCTTTGTGCCCGCTCCTGGTGAACATGGGGGGCCCACGCGGACTTGGCCAGGTGGGGACTGTGAGGCTCTTCGTCTTTCCCCTGCCTGCTGCCAGCCCGGGACTGGCTGTTTTCTTGCCTTTCTTCTCCCTCCTTGGCTGTGTCATCTTTTTCTCTATGGGAGTCAAGGGTGACAATTCAGGGACGAGTGTGAGGAGTGACAGGACACTTGTTTGTGGGGTTGGACCAAGGAGTTCCCCAATCTCAGGCTGCACCGCCATGGGCTCCAGGATGCTGTGGGGGGACCGGGGACCTTGTGACCAGCCAGAAACGGCCCAACCTCTCTGGACCCTGGCAGGGTGTGGGTAGTGGTATAGTGGAGAGTTTTAAGCTGCGAACTGATCTCACCTGATTGATGTTTCAAAAGACCGCGTGGGCCGGGAACGGTGGCTCACGCCTGTAATCCCAGCACTTTGGGAGGCCGAAGCGGGTGGATCACTTGAGGTCAGGAGTCTGAGACCAGCCTGGCCAACGTGGTGAAACCCCGTCTCTACTAAAAACACAAAAATTAGCTGGGCATGGTGGCACGTGCTTGTAATCCCAGCTACTCGGGAAGCTGAGGCAGGAGAATCGCTTGAACCCAGGAGGTGGAAGCGGAGGTTGTGGTGAGCTGAGATTGTGCCGTTGCACTCCAGCCTGGGCAACAGAGCAAGACTCCATCTAAAACATAAATTAAAAATAAAATGAAATAAAAACAACAAAAACAAAAAAAAGACCATGTGGCTGTTCTGTGGGGAACTGATTTGAGAGGGGGTTGGAAGGAGGCAGGAGCCCGAGGCGCTGTCCAGTTGAGGCACCGTGAGATGAGGGAGGCAGTGCAGGTAAGGAGAGGTGGTGAGATGTGGGATGCCTTGTGATGGCGGACTTGCCAGGAGGATTGGATGTGGAGGATGAGGGATCAAGACATCAGTGATGACTCTTGGGTTTTTTTTTTTTTTTTGAGACAGAGTTTTTGCTCTTGTCGCCCAGGCTGGAGTGCAGTGGTGTGATCTCGGCTCACCGCAACCTCCTCACAGCAACCTCCGCCTCCCAGGTTCAAGTGATTCTCCTGTGTCAGCCTCTGGAGTAGCTGGGATTACAGACATGTGCCACCACGCCTGGCTAATTTTTGTATTATTAGTAGAGACGGGGTTTTACCGTGTTGGTCAGGCTGGTTTTGAACTCCTGACCTCAGGTGATCCACCTGCCTCGGCCTCCCAAAGTGCTGGGATGACAGGCGTGAGCCACTGCATCCAGCCGACTCTCTGGGCTTTGTCCTGAGTGTCACTGAGATGGCTTTTGAGGGAAAGAATGAATGAGAGTTCCTGTTTTGGCCTCTAACTTGGGAAGTTTGAGGTGCCTGTCAGACATGCACGTGAGATGCTGAGTTGGCAAACCTTGATGGATCTGAATTTGAATCAGGATTCATTCTGGGCAAGTTGCTTAACCACTCTAAGTCTCCAACCCTCCAGGCCTCCCTCCCCGAGTACGTGTGAGGCGTATGGAAAGTGCCCAGTTCAGTGCCTTATACCTGCCTGGCACATCACCAGTGCCCAACAGAGGATACCTTGGGACTTCCTACAACATTGCTTAATATCATCTCATCTTCCAGCTCAGGAACATTCAGTGGCTTCCATAGCTTGAAACTTGTGTTTGGGGCTGAAACTTGGGGGCTGATTTGGCTCATAGAATGATTACGTTTGGTCCACATAGAGATTTTTAAAATTTTGTGTCATCCATGTACAAAAATTGGGAGACTCACACAAAAAATTGGATTTCTGGCTTATTTTGAAAACTTCAGCAACACTGAGCTTGCCTTTCTGCTGGACAGCTTAGTGAGAGATAAGTAAATAGTGGCCGCCCCCTTTGGAATGGCCGTGTGCTCTTCAGTGTACCATTGTCTCAGTCTCATGCTCTTTTTCTCTTTTAAAAAAATTGGTGAAATTTATATAACATAAAATTAATGATCTTAAAGTGAACAACTCAGTGGCGTTTAGTACTTTTGTGATGTCGTACAACCATCACGTCTATCTAATTCCAATTTTTATTTTATTTTATTTTTGAGACGGAGTCTTGCTCTGTCACCCAGGCTGGAGTGAAGTGGTGTGATATTGGCTCACTGCAACCTCCGCCTCCTGAGTTCAAACGATTCTCCTGCCTTAGCCTCCTGAGTAGCTGGGATGACAGGCACTCACCACCCACGCCTAGCTAATTTTTGTATTTTTAGTAGAGATGGGGTTTCACCATGTTGGTCAGGCTGGTCTTGAACTCCTGACCTCAAGTGATCTGCCCGCCTTGGCCACCCAAAGTGCTGGGATTACAGGTGTGAACCACCACACCTGACCTAGTTCCAAAATATTTGATCATCCCCAAATAAAACCCCTTTAAGCAGTTACTCCCCACTTTCTCCTCCCCCCAAGCCCCTGACAATCACGAATCTGTTTTCTGTCTTTATAGATTTACCCATCCTAGATATTTTATAGAGATTGAATTATTAGGCTTCTGCACAGCAAAGGAAACAATCAACAGGGTGGAAAGGCAGCCTACAGAATGGGAGGAAATATTTGCAAACCATATATCAGATAAGGGGTCAGTTTTTAAAATGTATAAGGAACTCCTACAGCTCAATAATAAAAAAGCCTCACCTGATTTAAGAAGTGCACTATAGGGGTGGGTACAGTGCTCACGCCTGTAATCCCAGCACTTTGGGAGGCTGAAGCAGGCAGATCATCTGAGGTCAGGAGTTCAAGACCAGGCTGGCCAACATGGTGAAATCCTGTCTCTACTAAAAATTAGCTGGGTGTGGTGGCACACGCCTGTAATCTCAGCTGCTTGGGAGCCTGAGGCAGGAGAATTGCTTGAACGTGGCAGGTGGATGAGGCAGTGAGCTGAGATCGTACCAGTGCACTCCAGCCTGGGTGACAGAGCAAGACTCTGTCTCCAAAACAAACAAACAAAAAAAAACAAACAAAAACCAAACAAAAACGTGTACTAAAGACTTGAATAGACACTTCTCCAAAGAAGACATACAAGTGGTCAACAGGTATATGAGAGGGTCGTTAATCATCAGGGAAATGCAAATAAAACCACAGTGATATATCACCTCAGACCTGTTAGGATGGCTAGTATCAAAACCACAGAAGAGGCCAGGCATGGTGGCTCACGCCTGTAATCCCAGCACTTTGGGAGGCCAAGGAGGGCGGACCATGAGGTCAGGAGATCGAGACCATCCTGGCCAACATGGTGAAACCAGTCTCTACTAAAATACAAAAAATTAGCCAGGTATGGTGGTGTCCGCCCCTGTAATCCCAGCTACTCAGGAGGCTGAGGCAGGAGAATCGCTTGAACCCAGGAGTCAGAGGTTGCTATGAGCCGAGATTGCGCCATTGCACTCTAGCCTGGCGACAGAGCGAGACTCCGTCTCAAAACAGCAAAACCAAAAAAAAAAAAAAAAAAAAAACCAAACCACAAAAGATAACAAGCATTGGTGAGGATGTGGAGAAATTGGAACTCTTGTAACACTGTTGGTAGAAATGTAAATTGGTGCAGCCGCTATGGGAAACAGCACGGAGATTGCTCAAAAAATTAAAAACATTAAAAAGAGAACTACCAACTTCATTCTTTGCACGTGGATATCCAGCTTTTTTGCAGCGCCATTTGTTGAAAAGACTATTCTTTCCCTAGGATTGGTCTTGGCAATCCTGTCAAAACACAGTTGGCCATAGATGTGTGGGTTTATCTCTGGACTCTTAATTCTACTCTGTCGGTTCATATGCCTGTTATTGCCAGGACCACACGGTTTTGATCACTGTAGCTTTATAGTAAGTATTGATTGGGAAATATGAGTTCTCCACCTTTGACCTTCCTCTTTAAGAAGGTTTTGAGTATTCTGGATGGAATTTCCCTATCAAATTTAGGAGGAGCTTTTCAGTTTCTTCAAAACATCCAGCTAGGATTCTGATAGAGATCGCGTTAGATAGGTAGATCACTTTGAATGGTACTGCCACCTTAACAGTATTAAATCTCCAATCCATGAACATGGAATGTCGTTCCATTTATTTATGTCTTCTTTAATGTCATTGGGCAATGTTTTGTAGTGCTTAGTGTGCCAGCCACTCGGTTAAATTTGTTCCTAGGTATTTTATTCTTTTTAATGCTATTTTATTTTTTATTTTTTGAGACGGAGTCTTGCTCTGCCACCCAGGCTGGAGTGCAGTGGCACTATCTCGGCTCACTGCAAGCTCTGTCTCCCGGGTTCACGTCATTCTCCTGCCTCAGTAGCTGGGATTACAGGCGCCCGCCACCACGCCCGGCTGATTTTTTTTGTATTTTTAGTAGAGACGAGGTTTCACTGTGTTAGCCAGGATGGCCTCGATCTCCTGACTTCGTGATCCACCCGCCTCGGCCTCCCAAAATGCTGGGATTATAGGCGTGAGCCACCGTGCCCAGCCTAATGCTATTTTAAAATGGAATTGTTTTCTTAATTTTCTGATTGTTTATTGATTGTTTATTTTAATTTATTATTTTTATTATTTTTATTGTTTGTCTTTTCTGATTGTGTCTCTCCGATTGTTCATTGCTGGTGTATAGAAACACAACTGATTTTTGTACTCTGCAATTTTGCAGACTTCCTTTATCAGCTCTAGTAGATTTTGTGCATGTGTGAAATCTGTGAGGTTTTTTTGTGTTGGAACGTCTCATCTGACAATAGAGATAGTTTTACTGTTTCCTTTCCGTGGTAGATACCTTTTATTTCTTTGTTCTGGCTAGAACTTTTAGTACACCCAATGGTAGTGGTGAAAGTGAGTTTCCTTGTTTTGTTGCTACTTCATCTTAAGGGGAAAGCTTTTAGTTTTTCATCACTGAGTATGATGTTAGCTATGTCTTTTTTTTTTTAATGCCTTTTATGTCAAGGAAGTTCCCTTTTATTCTTAGTTTTCTGAGAGTTTATATCATGAAAGGATATTAGCTTTTGTCGTGCTCTTTCTGTATCAATTGAGATAATCATGTATTTTTTCTTCTTCATCCTGTTAATGTGATACATTGATTTTCTTTTTTTTTCTTTATTTTATTATTATTTTTTTTGAGACGAGTTTTGCTCTTTCGCCCAGGCTGGAGTACAGTGGCACAATCTGGGCTCACTGCAACCTCTTTCCCCTGGGTGCAAGCGATTCTCATGCCTCACCCTCCCGAGTAGCTGGGATTATAGGCACGTGCCACCACGCCTGGGTAATTTGTGTATATTTTAGTAGAGACGGGCTTTCACCATGTCGGCCAGGCTGGTCTTGAACTCCTGACCTCAGGTGATCCTCCTGCCTCAGCCTCCCAAAGTGCTGGGATTACAGGTGTGAGCCACCGTGCCCGGCCTATTACATTGATTTTCTTGTGTTGAACTGAGTTTGCATTCCTAGGATAAATTCCACTTGGTCATGGAATATAACAGTACGCTGTTGGATTTGGTTTATTGGTACTTCGTTGAGGATGTCTGACTCTATCCATAAAGATACTGGCCTGTAGTTTTCTGTGGTTCCTTTGTGTCACTTTGATAACGCTGGCCTCATAGGATGAGTTAGGAAGTGTTTCCTCCTCTTCTATTTTTGGAAGAGTGTGAGAAGGACTGGTGTGAATTCTTCTGTAAGTGTTTGGTCGGCTTCACTATGAAGCCATCTGGCCCTGGACTGTTCTTTGTTGGGAGGTTTTTAATTACTACGGATTCCATCTCTTTACTTCTCCCATCACTCGTTTAGGTTGCTTGCCTCGTGCCTGAAGTCATTGGCATCTTCTAGTCCTGTCTTAGAATTTAAATATGAGTCTGCCTAATTTAAGATGTCCTATAAAAACCCAACCATCTTCCCACCCTTCCCCACCTTGCCACATCTCTGCTCTGGTATCTCTGCTGAGAGATGGTCCCTCCCACACAGCAGCAGCATTCAACATGATGAACCCCATAGGTCAGTGGTTCTCACTTGGGAACTTCTTAGAAACGCACATTCTCTGGCCAAGAATCAGAAGCTCTAGGGGTGGGGCCTAGGAAACTTTTTTTATTTTTGAGACAGAGTTTTGCTCCTTCGCCCAGGCTGGCGTGCAGTGGCGTGATCTCGGCTCACTGCAACCTCCACCCCCCGGGTTCAAGTGAATCTCCTGCCTCAGCCTCCCAAGTAGCTGGGATTATAGGCGCCCGCCACCACACCTGGTTCATTTTTGTATTTTTAGTAGAAACAGGGTTTCTCCATGTTGGTCAGGCTGGTCTTGAACGCCTGACCCCAGGTGATCCGCCCGCCTTGGCCTCCCAAAGTGTTGGGATTACAGGCGTGAGCCACCGTGCCCGGCCGGAAACTGTGTTTTAACTAGCCCCCAGGTGGTTCTGTGGCATTAGCACTGCCACACTTAACAGAGAGCCATTGCAGGCTCCTGGCCCCAGTGACATAGTGAAATGGCACCTCTGAAACGCTCCAGCAGCAAAGGAGCCGTGAGCATCAGGAGTTGGTGGAAAAAGGAGACCAGAGAAGGGAAAGAGGAGCAAGCAGGTGGCTTGGCGGGGGTGGTGGGGGGAGACTTGGTTGGAACAGGACCTGATTCTGGAGGACGGTTCATTATTGGGAGCACCCACTGGGCATAGGGTTGGCCATCCAGGGTGAGGGGTGCAGTCTGTGGTCAGAGCACAGACAGCTGTTAATAGCAGTAACACTGGCCCGTCCAGCCCTGACTCTAGCCATCCCAACAAGCCCGCCCTGGCCACTCCCAGGCCAAGACTCAGCCCTCACCGCTTGCTTCGTTGCATCTTGCTTAGCAGAATATTTAGTCATTCATCTGGCAAATGTTTATTGAGCATCTACTGTGTGCTAGGCAGTTCTATTAATAGCACAGGGATATGGCAAGGATCACAGCAAACGAAGAGCTCTGCCCTCGAGGACCTTCTGTTCTGCAGCCAGCCTGGTGGCCGGCTGGTTCTCATCCTGCTTGCCCTGTGGATGGGGACTTCTGGACCGGTAGCGGAGTCGGGCAGTGTGGCGTGCTCGGTGGTCAGACGACATGGGACACATCCCATCCCGCTCCCAGGGCGTGCCCTGTTTCCCCAGCTTTCCAGAAACGGGTTTAGAGAACTCTCCAGAAATCCTTTTCCTTGGTCATGTCTTCCCTCTTCATCCGGATGAGAAACTCACTCTGACCTGTTTGCTTCTCCCCCCAGCACTTTCTGGCCCGCATCTCCCCCCGATTTTCCTGGGACCCACGTAGGTGCAAAACACCTGCTCCTCCATCCTTGTCTTCTGGTAATGTTTTTAGTTTGCTGTTGATGTAGCCTTGTCCCCTCCGTGTGTCCTGGATTGGGGTGGGCGGGAATAACGAGGCGATTGCAAGGACTCATTGAGCGACCTGTGTGCCAGGCTCTGTACACGCTGGCCCGTGTGGTCCTGCCACAGCTCTGTGAGTTAGCGGTCATGTTTTCAGCCCCATGCAAAGGCGCAAGCACTCAGACAGCGTGGTTCTGTGAACATGAGTGTGTGGTGCCTCCCAGGAGCAGGGATTTTAGCGAGGCTGCTGACACATAAACACACCCCCACCTCCAGAAGCAGAGGAGAGGAGCCCAGGGCCAGGGCAGGTAGCTCAGCAAGGACCCAGCATGCTGCAGGTGGGGCCAGTGAGAGTCACTTCTCCAGCGAGGGTCAGAGAGGAGAGAGGCAAGAGTGTTGCAGGGGCGAGGGTCTCATGAGCTGGGGTGCGGCAAGAGGGAAGGAACAGGTGGATGCCTGTCTGCAGGAGAAGCTGTGCCTGTGTGTAGAGCTGCTGTGGACCAGGGGGAGGCAGGGAGGGCACAGGGTGGTGATGAGATGGAGAGAAGGGGTCCTGGACTCGGGTGCAACAAGAGGGAAGGAAGAGGTGGCTGCCTGTCTGCAGGAGAAGCCGTGTCCATGTGTAGAGCTGCTGTGGACCAGGGGGAGGCAGGGAGGGCACAGGGTGGTGATGAGATGGAGAGAAGGGGTCCTGGACTCGGGTGCAACAAGAGGGAAGGAACAGGTGGCTGCCTGTCTGCAGGAGAAGCTGTGCCTGTGTGTAGAGCTGCTGTGGACCAGGGGGAGGCAGGGAGGGCACAGGGTGGTGAGATGGAGAGAGGGGGTCCTGGACTCACACGAGTGCCATCTTTTCCCGTCGCTTCTTCTGCTTTGCCGCCTGGGCAGTGGGCTGGCACCCGAACCGGCAAGTAGGGGCATTGGGAAAGATCCCTCAAGATTTCCCAAGCCTAAATTACTCCTTGTGGTTCTTGTTCACGTCTGCCCCTGCTACCTGGGACCTCCTCCAGCATCCTCCTCCCCAAAGACTTCTCTGCCTTTCTGAAGGAAGACCAGGCTGTTTCTGTATCGGGAGGTGGTGGGGACAGGGGTGGAACTTGGGGCCCAGACGGAGTTCCTCAGCTGAGTGCTGGCTCTGCGTGGTTATCTATTGACTGGCTGTGAACGCAGAGTCCACGGGGAAATGCTGGCCGCCCCTCTGATTTGGGTGGCAAGAGCTGCTGCTGCTAATACATTAGACAGCTGCATGGACGCTGCTATTGATGAGGAGACCCAATTACATGCCTCTGTGAAAATCCAGCGGCTGGCTTCCTGGTGGATGGAGACCCCTTCCGGAGGCTGTCCCGGGCAGGACGTTAGTCTCTGGGGCAATGCCAGTGAGTCAGTGAGCATTAACTGAGCACCTGCTGTGTGCCCTGAGCATTAACCGAGTGCCTGCTCTATGCCCTGAGCATTAACTGAGTGCCTGTTGTGTGCCCTGAGCATTAACTGAGTGCCTGCTGTATGCCCTGAGCATTAACTGAGTGCCTGCTGTATGCCCTGAGCATTAACTGAGTGCCTGCTGTGTGCCCTGAGCATTAACTCAGTGCCTGCTGTATGCCCTGAGCATTAACTCAGTGCCTGCTGTGTGCCCTGAGCATTAACTGAGTGCCTTCTGTGTGCCCTGAGCGTTAACTGAGTGCCTGCTATGTGCCCTTGGCTGTATGCAGCCATCTCAGGGTGTGTGGATGAGGGTGTGTCCGAAAGGCTGAGCTGCTGTTCCCGGCTGGCCTGAGTCACGCTGCTTCTGGGTGGAAAAGGAGACTCACTCCCTGCCAACTGTCCCATTGGAAAGTGCAGCAAGTCGCTGAGAAGTGGGGCCGGCCCAGCCAAGGCCATGCTGCCACTGGCTGATTTCTGCTGCTGGGCACTGTCCATGCAGGGATCATCCACCCAGCACGTTGCTCATGGCTGAGGCTGAATCATAGCCCTTCTCACCAACTGTGCCAGCCCCAGGCCATGGGGCATCTTCATTCAGACCCATTTCTTTTCTTCTTCTTCTTCTTCTTCTTTTTTTTTTGAGATGGAGTCTTGCTCTGTTGCCCAGGCTGGAGTGCAGTGGCACAATCTTGCCTCACTGCAACCTCCACCTCCCAGGTTCAAGTGATTCTCCTGCCTCAGCCTCCCAAGTAGCTGAGATCACAGGCCTGTGCCACCATGCCTGGCTAAGTTTTGTATTTTTAATAGAGACAGTTTCACCATGTTGGCCAGGCTGGTCTCAAACTCCTGGCCTTAGGTGATCTGCCCACCTCGGCCTCCCAAAATGTTGGGATTACAGGTGTGAGCCAATGCGCCCAGCCAGACTCATTTCTAACAGTCTTCTAAAGACACTGTCTCTGGGAAGACCAATGAAATCGAGAAAAAGTATCTTGAAGCTGCTAGCCCACCTCCAACAGGACAAAGCATGCTTCCAGAGGGAGCTTTCCCATAGCTCCTTCTAGGAGCTGCTATTTACTGGGCATTCACTGCAGACCAGACCCTGGCTGGGCACTTCTTACGCCTGTTCTCACCTCATCTGCCTAAGAGCGCTGAAGTCAGGAACTATTTGCTTCAATTTTTTTTTTTTTTTTTTTTTTTGAGACAGAGTCTTGCTCTGTCACCCAGGCTGAAGGGCAATGGTGTGATCTCAGCTCACTGCAACCTCTGCCTCCAAGGCTCAAGCAATTCTCCTGCCTCAGCCTCCCAAATAGCTGGGATTACAGGTGCCCGCCACCATGCCCAGCTAATTTTTGTATTTTTAGTAGAGATGGGGTTTCATCATGTTGGCCAGGCTGGTCTTGAACTCCTGACCTCAAGTGATCCACCCACCTCAGCCTCCCTAAGTGCTGGGATTATAGGCGTGAGCCACCGCGCCCGGCCTGCTTCAATTTTCAGGTGAGGAACTTAAAAGAGGAATGAAGAGAGGTTAACATGCCTCATGCAACACAGCTGGGCAGTAGCAGGTTGCCCACTCCCCAGACCTGGGCTTCGACCACCGGGCTCTGCTGCCTCCTGTGTGTTTCTGCTGCACCTAAACCTAAATCACTCTGCATGACCTTGCAGCCGAAGCCTGAGTTCTGGGGTTCAGCATCTCTCAGGCCCAGGCCCCAGCTTTGCTCTCCCATCTGATCTTCAGGATGTCTGACCCAGAGGCCTCCAGCCAGCCGGGCTGATCCACTAACGCTTCACTGACTGTGTGCCGAGCTGCTTCTCTTTTCTGTCTTTGCCCATTCAGTTCCTGCTGCCCGAGTGCCACAGTCTCCTCACCCCTCTCTATCCAGTGATTTCTCTTGATCCTTTAAGGTCTGTCTGGGATCTTGTGTCTTGCAAAAAGCCTTCGTTGACATTTTGGTTTTAAGATGTGTCCATGAATTCTTTGATGCTTCTCTCTTCAAGAGGTCGAACTTGTTGTGTGCGGTGGCTCACACCTGTAATCCCAGCACTTTGGGAGGCTGAGGCGGGAGGATCGCTTGAGCTCAGGAGTTCAAAACCAGCCTGGGCAACATGATGAAACCCTGTTTCTACTAAAAATACAAAAATTGGCTGGGTGTGGTGGCAGTGCTTGTAGTCCCTGCTACTTGGGAGGCTGGGGTGGGAGGATCGCTTGAGGCCAGGAGATCGAGACTGCAGTGAGCTGTGATCATGCCACTGCACTTCAGCCTGGGTGACAGAATGAGACCCTGTCTCAAAAACAAACGAAAATAAAAAGACGTGAAACCTAGGCTGGGCGCAGTGGCTCACGCCTGTAATCCCAGCACTTGGGGAGGCCGAGGCAGGCGGATCATTTGAGGTCAGGAGTTCAAGACCAGCCTGGCCAACATGGTAAAACCCTGTCTCTACTAAAAATACAAAGATTAACTGGGTTTGGTGGTGGGCGCCTGTAGTCCCAGGTACTTGGGAGGCTGAGGCAGGAGAATCGCTTGAACCCAGGAGGCGGAGGTTGCAGTGAGCCAAGATTGCGCCACTGCACTCCAGCCTGGGCGATAGAGTGAGACTGTGTCTCAGAAAAAATAAAATAAAATAAAATAAATACTGAAAAGCACAAAGGGAAAAATCATCTGTACCTTCAGCCTCATTTTGTTGTGTATCCTTTGGGATATTTTTCTCCGTGGGGGTGATGCATGCCCTCAGATGCAGTCCTGTGTCTCTCTATACAAACACATTCTTTATGTTTCATGGAAACAATGGGATCATCTTGTTCAAAACTCTATTTTTCTCACTTAGCAATGCACTGTGAATCTTTGCAGTAGCATCATGAGCACAGACCTCCTCTTGTCGTTTATTGTATGAGTGTACCCCTGTGCCTTATTTACTTTTCCTTTCACGGTTGGGTACTTCCCCCATTGCTTAGACTTTTTGGCCCTTAAACAGTGCTGGGACAAACATCCTTGTACATGTGTTCTTGTGGCATGGCCCGGATATTGTTCTAGGGTAAATTCCTTAGAGTGGGTTTCCTGGACCAAAGGACGTGGATATTTTAAACGGTTTGGATACATGGTGCCTTTCGGAAAGCTGTATCAGGTGTGCACTCAGCAGAGTTCCTGCAGCCCGGGGCCTGCAGACTGGACACAGTGGCTGTACTGTTTCTCATTCCTGCCAGCTATATGTTCCTGCCACATATCCTTGCCAACACTGGTTGATCTGATAGTGAAAGATGTTATCTTACTGTGATCTTAATTTCTTTCATAACTAGAGAGGTTGGGTTTGTTTCCATGTGTTCATTGGTTATTTTATGTGTGTCCTTTAATCATTTGTTCATGTCCTTTGCACATTTTTCTGTTTTTTTTTTCTTTTGAGACAGTCTCACTTTGTCGCTCAGGCTGGAGTGCAGTGGTGGGATCTCAGCTCACTGCAGCCTCCACCTCTTGGGTTCAAGTGATTCTCATGCCTCAGCCTTCCGAGTAGCTGGGATTACAGGTGTGCGCCACCACACCCAGCTAATTTTTGTTATTTTTAGTAGAGACAGGGTTTCACTATGTTGGCCAGGCTGGTCTCGAACTCCTGGGCTCATGTGGTCTGCCCGCCTCAGCCTCCTAAAGTGCTGGGATTACAGGTGTGAGCCACCACTGCACCAGACCCCTCATTTATTGATATAATGGCTTTTGGATAGTTTGAGGTATGGTCTTCCAGATCATTTTCTATGAATTTATATGCATACATTATATACAGTATCTTTTTTTTTTTAAGAGATGGAGCCTCACTGTGTCACCCAGGGTAGGGTACAGTGTCATGATCATAGCTCACTGCAGCCTTGAACTCCTGGGCTCTAGCAACCCTCCTTGCCTCAGCCTCCTGTGTAGCTAGGATTACAGGTGTGAACCACCGTGTCTGGCTGTTTTTATAAAATTGAGATTATATTCAATGTATTGTCTCTGATTTCCTCCACCCCTCAACTTAATATATCTTGGAGAGTGTCATATGTAAGCAACATGAATCTGTTGCTGTCTTTTTGAATGATTGTATAGTTTTTTTGAACAGCTTTATTGAGATATAATTTACGTATCATAAAGTCACCCATTTAAAGTGTACAATTTGGCCGGGTACGATGGCTCACGCTTGTCATCCCAGCACTTCGGGAGGCCAAGGTGGGCAGATCACCTGAGGTCAGGAGTTCAAGACCAGCCTGGCCAACATGGTGAAACCCTGTCTCTACCAAAAATACAAAAATTAGCTGGGCATGGGGGCGCATGCCTGTAATCCCAGCTACTCCGGAGGCTGAGGCAGGAGAATCGCTTGAACCCAGGAGGTGGAAGTTGCAGTGAGCTGACATCGCGCCATTGCACTCCAGCCTGGGTGAAAAGAGCGAAACTCCATTTCAAAAAATAAAAAATAAAATAAAGTGTACAATTCAGTGGTTTTTGGTGGTATTCACGGAGCTGTGTAACCACCATCATAATCAGTTTTAGAACCTTTTTATTGCTTTGAAACGAAATCCGTACCTTTTAGCTATCACCTTCCAATCCCCCATCCCCCTCAGCTTAAGCAAGCGCTCATCTTCTTTCTGTCTCTATGAGGTTGCATACTCTGGACATTTGATTAAAATGGAATTATGGTCCTTTATCTCTGACTTTTGTCTTTTTTAAATTTTTTTTGAGATGGAGTCTCACTTTGTCATCCAGGCTGGAGTGCAGTAGCGCGATCTTGGCTCACTGCAGGCTCCGCCTCCCGGGTTCACGCCATTCTCCTGCCTCAGCCTCCTGAGTAGCTGGGATTACAGGCGCCCGCCACCATGCCCAGCTAATTTTTTGTATTTTTAGTAGAGACGGGGTTTCACCGTGTTAGCCAGGATGGTCTCGATCTCCTGACCTCGTGATCCGCCCGCCTCGGCCTCCCAAAGTGCTGGGATTACAGGCTTGAGCCACCACGCCTGGCCTTATGTAAGAGTTTTTGTGTGGACGTGTATTTTCCATTCTCTTGTGTAGGTGTCTAGGAGTGGCACTGCTGGGTCATGCGGGTACAGAGGCAGGTTCTTAACTGCTTTTCTATACCTCCTCCTGTAGTGAGGGAATTTGTCATCCATTTGGTTCACATATCAGTACTTATTTATTTATTTATTTATTTATTTATTTTACTTATTTACTGAGAGGCAGTCTTGCTCTGTTGCCCAGGCTGGAGTGCAATGGTGCGATCTCTGCTCACTGCAACCTCTGCCTCCCAGGTTCAAGCGATTCTCCTGCCTCAGCCTCCCAAGTAGCTCAGATTACAGGTACCCGCCGCCAAGCCCAGCTAATTTTTGTATTTTTAGTAGAGACGGGGTTTCACCATGTTGGCTAGGCTGGTCTTGAACTCCTGACCTCGTGATCCGCCTGCCTCAGCCTCTCAGAGTGCTGGGATTACAGGTGTGAGCCACCGTACCCGGCCCTATCTCTACCTTTTTTCATTTGGTGTAATGCACTCAAGGGTCAGCAGTGTTGTGGCAGGTATCAGTATATGTTATTTTTATTGGCTGAATATTATTCCATCGTATGGATACAGCACATTTTGTTTATTCGTCAGTTGATGGACATTTGGGTTGTACCCACCGTTTGGCAAGAGTGAATACTGCAGTAGTGAATGTTTGTGTACAAGTATTTGCTTGAGTACCTGCTTTCAATTCTTTTGTGTATATTCCTGGGGGTCGAATTGCTGAGTTGTGTGGTCATAATTCCGTGTTGAACATTTCCGGGAATTGCCAAATGATTTTCCACAATGGCTGTACTGTTTGACATTCCTACCAGCAATAGATGAGGGATCTGATTTCTCCACAGCCTTGCTCACGCCTGTGATAGTCTGTGTTTTGATCGTGGCTATGTTAGTGGTATGAGTGGTGTCTCATTGTGGTTTTGATTTGCATTTCCTGATGACTAATGGCTTGAGTGTCTTTTCATGTACTTATTGTTCCTTTGTATGTCTTCTTTGGGTATATGTGTATTTAGATCCTTTGCCCGTTTTTAAATTGAGCTGTCTTTTTCTGACTGAGTTGTAAGAGTTTGTTTTTGTAGAGACACGTCCTTTATCAGATATACAATTTGCAAATATTTCCTAGCATTCTGCGGGCTTTCTTTTGACTTTCTTGAGAGTAAGTATGAGGAATTCGTATTAACTTTTCTTTAAACGTTTGGTAGAATTTACAAATGAAGCCACCTGGGTCTGGGCTTTCCTTCGTGCGTCGTTTTTTTGATCATTAATTTGATCTTTTTATTTGTTATATGTCTTTAGATTTTCTATTTCTTACTGAGTCAGTTGTGATAGGTTATGTTTTTCAGGGAATTTGTTCATTTTATCGAAGTTATCTAATTTATTGACCTATAGTTTATAGTACTTGTATTTTATTCTGTGAGTGTAGCTTCTTTTAACCAATTTTCTGCAGACTTTTAAGTTGTTTTTATTTTTTTACTGTTAGAAACGATGCTGCAGTGAACATTTGAGCCTGTCTGTCTTTGTGCACATTGCAAGTGTGTTAGAGGATGGATTGTTAGACGTGGAATCGCGTGTCAGAGGTCCGTGTATTTAACATGTTGATTGCTTCTGTTGCATTATCCTCCTCCTGTTCATCTTTCTATCCGTATTGATTGGTATAAGCTCTTTACGTCTGCTAATCCTGGTCTCCTAAGCCTGGAGATGGTAAGAATGCCCCGCGTGGGTGGTGCATGTGCACCTGAGCAAGTTGGAAGAGGAGGTTTGGCATCTGGATGTTTGGCGGCTCACTTCTGGTCAAGGGAGTTGGGCGCGGGTGCCCTAAGCCCACCCCTGTACATTCACACGTGGGGTTTCTAGATGCCAGATCCTGAACTGCTGGTAGGTCGGAGCTTTTTGCCTCTGACACGCTGGCTTTGGCCTGACAGAGGTTGTCTGGAGTCAACAGCAGGGCTGGGTCTCTCCAGGGACTTCACCAGGCTCCTTCCCAGGGCGGGTCTGGGAATTCTGGGAGCAGTGGGAGCTCCAGGCAGTTCTGGCCCATGGGTGCCTGCAGAGGTAGGAAGAGTGCTTGGAGGCCCCACCTCTGCCTGAAGAAGAACCGAGGACACTGTTCCTCATCCCTGCTTTCTTTTCTCTCGTCTTCACTGGGGACTGTCTGTTCTGGGCACTCATGACCTCCCGGCTTCGCGGTGCCCAGATGTGGGCAGTGACATTAGTCTGAGGAGGAGTAGCTGTTTTCAGGGGATAGGAAGTGGGGTGGCCTCTGTGTGTTTTGTTGGGGTAGAGTTGCCAGCCCCTCACGCTTCCATTCCGCTTCCCTTTTCTCCTTTTTGTTTTTCCTGGATACACAAGGGTGGCACCAAAGTAGGTCAAAGGTTTGGACAAGTGCAATTGGGATTTTAAAAATAACCCATCTAGGCTGGGCGTGGTAGCTCACGCCTGTAATCCCAGCACTTTGGGAGGCCAAGGCGGGAGGATCACAAGGTCAGGAGTTCGAGACCATCCTGGCCAACATAGTGAAACCCCGTCTCTACTAAAAATACAAAAAATTAGCCGGGCACGATGGCGGGCGCCTGTAGTTCCAGCTACTCGGGAGGCTGAGGCAGGAGAATGGCGTGAACCCGGGAGGCGGAGGTTGCAGTGAGCCGAGATTGCGCCACTGCACTCCAGCCTGGGTGACAGAGCGAGACTCTGTCTCAAAAAAAAAAAAAAAGAAAAAAAAAATCCCTCTAGGCCCCTGGAGGCCTCGGTTCAATGGTGTTCAGGCTTTGCTTCACCAGCTTTAGGGTGCCAGAGTGGTGCCTTGTGGGCAGGGGACCGGGCAGGCAGAGGCAGAGGTGGCATAGCGGGCCCTCCCCCTCCTTCCCTGGCTGCTGTGGCCACAGCGACCCTGCTTTCACCGGTTGGTTTTCTGTATCAGGGTGTGGAACGCCGCTTGTGTTGGACACCTTGGCCCCACTGTTGGGTTGAAAACATCCTAAATATGGCTCCTGCCGGAGGCTGAATGCCGAGGACGATAGGCGTTTGCAGAATTTGGCTCTTCCCAGGGGCCGGCAGGCCCCTTTCCTTGACAGAGGCTGAGTGTCTGCTCCCCCAGCACCATTCATTTGCCAGCCCAGGTGTGCCTTAGCCTCTCTCCTGTTGTATGGGGTGTTTGGCCCTCTAGCCCTGCAAAGGCAAAATCAAATTATCTTCTCTGTTGATCCAAATGAATTTTGTCCCTGGGGAAGCCCCAGGCTCAGCTTCCTGATAGTTGGTGAGGAAGAGGCTTTTGCTGTGGACCTCCCGGCTGATCCCTGTCTTTCTGTCCCCCTGCTTTTGTCTTTCAGTCGTCGGAGTTCTTTGAGATGCTGGAGAAAATGCAGGTGAGTACGTACCCCCACCGTGGCGGGGAAGAAGCCCAGCCCCAGATGTGGGTGGCATAGGGACCAGGCAGAACCCACGGGCAGAAGCCGGGTGCCCTGGACGGGGGTGCAGAGAAGAGACAATTGCATCCCCTTGGCCCAGACAACCTGAGGCCATTTTGCTGTTGAGGGGTACGGAGCACTTTGGGAAGACTCCTGCGGAGGGACAGGGAGGATAAAAGCAGAACTTCCCCAGCAGGGCAGCTGGGGAGGCCATAAGCCCTGTGGATGTGGAGGAGGGTTTGAAGGGTCCATTGTTCCTAGCACGAGCTGGAAAGAAGGCCTGAAAGAACTAGCTGCTTCTTGGAGGAGTCATCTTGCATAGGGAGGCAGAGGGGTGGGGTGGGAGGCTGGCTTGTGTTCAAGTCCTGCACCAGACACTTACTAGCACCAGTTCCTTTCCTGTGCTAAGCCTCCATAAATAAATAAGAATGAATGCACCCACTTACATGGTGGTTGGGGTGAAATGAGATAATCGGTGTAAATACTTGGTAGACACTACATAAAAGTTGGTGTGTGATGTGGGTTTGGGGGTTCTTCGTTGTTCCTCACCAGGGTCAGGGCTCCCAGGTAAGAGCTGCTGCCCTGGGGAGTATGTGCAGAGGCCCGGCAGGGTTCATTGACGTGGGCGGGAAGACTGGGAAGACAATGCTGATAATACACCTGTAGCTCAAGCACTTCACTGGGCTCAGAGATTGACAGGCGTCATTTCTTCCTGCTAAGGCCTTCAGAAGTAGGCATATTATTATTATTATTATCCCCATAGGACAGGTGAGAAAATCGAGGCACAGAACAATTAAAGGCAGCACTCAAAGGGTGCGTGGCTCATAAGTAGCTTCAGAGCCAGAGAGTCCAGCCATTATGTCATGATGCTTTTTACCATAAGTAGGTGCTCCAGGCTCAAGGGAGGAAGATTCTGCAATAATGGTCTGGAAGTCCTAGGAGGAGGGGCAAATACAGCACCCACGGCAGTCCTGAGATGTGGGCCAAGCAGCCAGGTGTCCCTGAGGGTGGGGAGGGAGGGGAGACGCTGTTTGAAGGGAAAGTATTGTTACTGCCGTGTCACCGAGAGCCAGTTATTAAAATTGTCCTCTGCGCCCAGCAGCGTGTAGATGACAGACTCATCTTCTACGCATTTAGGGAACTTATCATCAGCTTGCGGAAACCAGGCTGGCATGTGCCTCACAGTGAGGGGTGGGAGATGGTATATAATCAAGTGCTCCATTGCTTGGAGCAAAGCTGGGATTTTCGCCTCTAGTCAGTGGGATCCTGGCACTCTGGGAAGCTGGCAGGGGGTTTGCAGCCCACCCAGCCTTCTCTCCGGTTGCTCCTCAGATCCTCTCTTCCTTCTCCCCCAGCTGGAGTCCCCTTCCCACAACTTTGCCCCACACAGGGTCTCTCTGAGCACAGCATTCAGCCCCAGTTAACCAGCCTCAGAGTGTTGTGTTGTGTAGAGGCTGCAGGGCTTGTCTGTTCATGTAGATCGGGTGCTTTCTAGGGTAGGGGTCTTGTTTTATTCTCCCTCTGTCTGTGCAATGGCTGATCCCCCTGGGTAGCGTGCCTGTTCCCTTTCAGTTGAGACTGTTGAAGCCAAATTTCTGGGTGTTTAAGTCCCTACCATGTGCCCCCTGGGCCCAGCCTCAGAGGGTTCACTCTTAGTAAGAAGCTCACGTATGGGGCACTGCTGGCCATGGAGTGCCCGCGTGGGCCTTGAGCCTGGGCTCCATCTCTCTTCATCTTGCACGTGTGGAAACTGAAGCTCAGAGCAGTGAAGCGCCCGGGTCACTTAGCTAGTTGTGAAGAGCTGAAACTGGAATCCGGGATTCCCGATACCTAGCCCAAGAGTCTGGGAACTGGGAGAAGGCAGAAGCTTTGGATTCCTTCAGTCCTGGGTTCAGGTTCTAACCCTGACGCTTTCTAGCTGAGTATCTTCAGTCAAGTCGGTTTCCCCTTCTGAGCCTTAATTTCTTCACTGAGGGGAGAAGGGGAAATAAAGATAATACCCATTGTGGCCAGTTGCGGTGTCTCACACCTGTCATCCCAGCACTTGGGAGGTCGAGGCAGGTGGATCGCCTGAGGTCAGGAGTTCGAGACCAGCCTGGCCAACCTGGTGAAACCCTGTCTCTACTAAAAATAGAAAAATTAGCTGGGTGTGGTGGCACACGCCTGTAATCCCAGCTACTTGGGAGGCTGAGGCAGGGGAATCTCTTGAACCCGGGAGGTGGAGGCTGCAGTGAGCCGAGATTGCGCCACTGCATTCAGCCTGGATGGCAGAGCAAGACTCCATCTCAAAAAAAAAAAAAAAAAACAACAAAAAAAGACAATACCTCTAGCAAAATAGCACATGGAGGAGAGAGGGCCCCGTGCTGGGCAGTGGCTCTGCGGTAGGTTATTAGGGGAGGGAGTGGCGTGGGGAGGGGATGGGAGGAAGTTTGCTCTCCTGCCCTCGGGGCTGTTCCCAGACAGGGATGACTAATGCAGGCCAAACAAAACAGACTCCTGCCCTCACTGCCCCCACCCGCCATCTGCCCAGTTTGCCAGCTGGGACAGGGTCTGTAGGGCCACCCAGGTGGCTTTGTGTGTGTGTGAGGGGAGCGCCTGTTCAGTGGGAACGGCCCTCCCACGCCCTCCTGAACAATGCTGCAAGGCGACTCAGCCCAGGGAAGTCCGCAGAGGCTGCATGTCAATCCACCCAGTTAACAGGAGCCCTGCTGTCCACAGAGTGTGGGGTACGTCACGCGCTTGGTGAGCCGGTGACCCGGCTTCAAATCTAGGCCCTGCCACTCACTGGCTGTGTGACCTTAGGCAAGCAGCCTCCTTCTGGGGCCCCAGTGTCCTCGCTGGTGGAAAGTGCTGTGAGTTTCAAAGGAGGCCACAGAGAGAGCTAGCTTGGGAAGGTCAAAATCCCTGTGCATTAGTGTTGTGACCAGGCAGACGCTGCTTCTGGACTCCTTCTGCTTCAGAGGGGACCTGTTTCTTCTAGTTTGTGTACCGTCTCATACTGTCACCCGATTTTCTCAGATAGTCTTGGAAACACCACGTGTTCCCCTCCTGCACAACACGGTTAAGTCAGAACTCAGTGATAGAACTGCTGGACCAGGGCCAGGCGCAGTGGCTCACGCCTGTAATCCCAGCACTTTGGGAGGCTGAGGCGGGTGGATCACCTGAGGTTGGGAGTTCAAGACCAGCCTGGGCAACATGGTGAAACCCCATCTCTACTAAAAATGCAAAAAACTAGCTGGGCATGGTGGCACATGCCTGTAATCCCAGTTACTTGGGAGGCTGAGGCAGGAGAATCACTTGAACGCGGGAGGTGGAGGTTGCAGTGAACCGAGATCCCACCACTGCACTCCAGCCTGGGCAACAAGAATGAAACTCCATCTCAAAAAAAAAAGAAGAGGCTGGGTGCAGTGGCTCACGCCTATAATCCCAGCACTTTGGGAAGCCAAGGCGGGTGGATCACCTGAGGTCAGGAGTTCGAGACCAGCCTGGCCAACATGGTGAAACCTCGTCTCTACTAAAAATACAAACATTAGCTGGGCGTGGTGGTACATGCCTGTAATCTCAGCTACTCGGGAGGCCGAGGCAGGAGAATTGCTTGAACCTGGGAGGTGGAGGTTGCAGTAAGCCGAGATCATACCACTGCACTCCAGCCTGGGCAATAGAGAGAGACTCCGTCTCAAAAACAAAAACAAACAAACAAACAAAACTGTTGGACAGGGCACTGCTCCCCAGAAGTGAATTCTTCAGATACCTGTAGATAAACTCCCTTAGTCCAGTCCCAGGCATCATATCTGATCCTTGCAGTCATCCTTCCATTAGTGAGATGAAAGGTGAGCGTCTAATCCTCATTTTACAGATGACACTGGGGGCTCCAAGAAGCTACGCTTTGTCAAGGGTCACAAATAGTAAGTTCGCAGCAGAATGAGGGCCAGCACCAGGCCTCCTGCCTGTCCCTTGAAGGCCTGTTGGCGTGGGCTCTAGAGCGCTGGCTCCGACACCAACAGGCATGACTTCCTATGTTTCCCTTCCCTTACTGGCTCTGTGACCCTAAGGATTTTTTTTTTTTTTTTTTTTTTTTAATTTGAGACGGAGTTTCGCTCTTGTTGCCCAGGCTGAAGTGCAATGGCGCGATCTCGGCTCACTGCAACCTCTGCCTCCCGGGTTCAAGCAATTCTACCGCCTCAGCCTCCTGAGTAGCTGGGATTACAGGCATGCGCCACCACGCCCAGCTAATTTTGTATTTTTAGTAGAGACAGGGTTTCTCCATGTTGGTCAGGCTGGTCCTGAGCTCCTGACCTCAGGTAATCTGCCCGTCTTGGCCTCCCAAAGTGCTGCGATTACAGGCGTGAGCCACTGTGTCCGACAAGACAGCTATTTAAGCTTTGAATGATAATACCGCCTCCTTCATGATGATAATGACCCACAGCATTTATTATATACCAGTCAGTGTTCCAAGTGCTCAACCCATTGTTAACCTTTAACCTTCACCACCATAGTCGATGCCATCATCATTCCCATTTTACAGATGAGAACATTGAGTCACAGAGAGGTTTCTGTGACTTGCCAAGGTCATCAGGCTGATAGGTGGCAGTGTTGGGATTTGAACCCCGGCGATCTGGCTCAAGTCTATGCTGTTAGCCCAGCGGCGCTGTTGCCTCACCTGAGGCTGCTGTGAGGCCCGCCCCTGGCCAGGTGTGATGTGTGCAGGCCCAGCACGGGCCAGCTTTTGCTGCTGCTCCTGTTACTAACCCCCTGTAAGGCCAGGTGCTCTTTATCTGGCCCTGTCTTCTGACCTTTGCTTTTCTGTGGATCCTGTTTTCCTTGTTTCTATAGGGGATCAAGCTTGAAGAGCAGAAGCCGGGACCCCAGAAGAACAAGGTGGGCTGGGTGGGTGAGGGGGTGGCCAGACGGCCCTGGTGAGGGGCTAGGGCGAGAGGAAGGCAGGAGGGGCTGCCGGGATGCTGGGGTCTTCTGTCTCACACCTGTCTAACTCTGACTCGCACCACGGGCCGCTTCACGACTGCCTTGTTAGACCAGTGCACGGTGGGCAGCAGAGGGGTCCTGGCTTGATGCCTTAGGACAGCTTCAGAGCAGGCTGGGGGTGGAGGCCTCGGTGGGACCTCAGGCTTGGCCGTTTGGCCCGGCTCTTCCCTACCCTGTGCAGTGTGTAAGGGTGTCAGGCTCTGTGCCCCGGGTTCCAGTGGGCAGTCAGCTCTCAGCTTCCCAACCCAGGGGTGCCGCTTATCACTTGGAGGTCAGTCCGCCTGCCTGGAAAGGGGTGCTGGGGGAGACTAGGGGTCATTTTCCGGAATGAGCGTTCTAGGATGAGAAGCTGGTATCACGAGGGGTGAGAAGTTCAGCACCTTCGGACACTGCATCATCAGCTGGCAGGGTTTATGTTTGGGTTCTGTCAGTTTGGAGAAGAACATGGGGGATGTTAGATTCCAGAGCTGATTCTGAGCTGTTCTTCCATCGAATGTTCCTCCCTCAAAGCCCCCCCACAACATATCCCCCTTGCAAGACCTGGAAACAGTGGTCAGACTTTACGGGCACTGCCGGGACTAACGGTGGCATCATCTGGTTTGTCTTGCAGGACGACTATATCCCATACCCCAGCATCGACGAGGTAGGTGCCCTCCCCTCACTCCCACCTGCCCTGCAGCCTGCTCTGGGTCCCGTCCCTGGGGAAATGATGGCGATGGCCTGTGCCCAGCCCCCCAGGGGAGAGAACCTTGGGCCTGGGACCTCTCTTCCTGTCTTTGCCTTTGTAACCTCAGCTTCTCCATGTGTTAAGTTGGGGGTGCTCATCTAGGCCTTTCAGCCCTGGGGCTACAGGGTTGGCGAATGAAGCTGGAGGTGTTGTGGGGCTTGGAGGAGGGGTTCATGTCACTGCCTTTGGCCTCAAGTACCAGTGGGTACCAGGCCCCACTCCTGGGAGCAGCGCAGAGGGGACACCGCCACCGGCCCCCTCCCTCCCCTGCGGTCCCAGGGGAGCGCACGACCCTCCCTCTGCCTTCAGGTTGTGGAGAAGGGAGGCCCGTACCCTCAGGTCATCCTGCCACAGTTTGGGGGCTATTGGATCGAGGACCCGGAGAACGTGGGCACCCCAACATCGCTGGGGAGCAGCATCTGTGAGGAGGAGGAAGAGGACAACCTCAGCCCCAACACATTTGGCTACAAGCTCGAGTGCAAGGGTGAAGCCAGGGCCTACCGGAGGCACTTCCTGGGGAAGGTGAGGCTGGGGGAGAGGAGCTGCTGGGGGTTGGGGGCAGAGGCTGGGGACGCTGGGAGAGAGGAGGTACCAGGCGGTAGGGGATGGGGAGAGGTTGAGGGAGGCTGTGGGAGGCTGTGGGAGAGGAGCTGCCAGGGGTGGGGGTGAGGCTGGGAGAGGCTGTGGGAGAGGAGCTGCCGGGGATGGGGGTGAGGCTGGGGGAGGCTGTGGGAGAGGAGCTGCGGGGGGTGGGGGTGAGGCTGGGGGAGGCTTGGGGGACAGAGGAGCTGGCGGGGGTGGGGGGAGGGGCTGGGGGCCCTGGGGGAGAGGAGCTGGCGGGGGTGGGGGTAGGGCAGAGTGCCCCCCTTTTCCTTGGCCTCTTACCTCCTTCCTAGTCTGTCCTTTTGTTGCTGCCTGCTGCTGTCTTAGTTGGAGAGGTCTGAGGGCCTCTGTCCTGGGATAGGGGACGGGGCAGGGGAGCCATGTAACAATCAGGGAGGCCCAGTGCCATGAGTCCTTGTGGGGACCACCCCCCGCAAATGTTTCGGGAGGCGATGGAATGGGTAGTGTTTGGGGTGAAGGACGGTGGCTGGAGTTTTGACTGTTCGAGGAAAAATGTGTTCTCACACCTCAAGAAGTCTCTGTTTCCATCTAAATCACGCAAATCTCTCCGTCCTCATTCAGGCAGATCCTCTGAGTGCTTGTACTGCATAGTGTCTGCGAGCCTCTGATTGCTTAAAAGTGACAAAGTTAAATTTAAAAGAATAGATTCTGCCCTTCAGATTTACCAGGTTCTTGATGTACTGAGGGCAGATTCCGGAAATCTGTAGCCTGAGGCCGCTTTGCAGAGTCTCACGTGACGGGAGGCTGCCTCAGAGCCCCTGGGTCTTGTTAGCATGCAGATTCCAGGGCCTCAGTCTGATCCAGCAGGTCTGGGGAGCTGTGTTTTTCGCCCGTGTTCCCCGAGCCAGGGAGTGACCCACTGGCTCAGGACACCTCCCAGCTCCCCTGGGTGGAGGTGCCAGGGTTCCTCCTTGCTGTCTTGCCCCAGATAGTGTGAACTGGTGAGGGCCGCCCCATGGGAATGAGAATGTGGACTCGGTATCTTGTGGTTAAGAACTTGCCCTTCAGAGTCAAGACAGCTGTGCGTTTGAACCCTGGATCTGTCCCTTACTCATCGTGTCATCCTGGGCAGTGACTTAACCCCCCGACCATTGGTTTTCCCATCTGTGAAATGGGGATGATGTTCTCTCCCGGATACAGCTGTGGTCAGGACTGAAGGAGATAGTGGGTATTAAGCCCCTGGCACGGTGCCTGGCGCCTCCTGAGGATCCGGCCGTCGGTACCTGTTAATGTCGTTGTCATTGTCATCAGTAGCATCCTTCTCTTCCTTGTTGCTGTGGGGCTTCTCCTGGTGAAGGAGGTGGTTTAGGGGGAACATACCTGGAAGGTTTCTTCCTCCTTCCTGCTCACACTCAGTTTCTTTTTTTAGGATCATCTAAACTTTTACTGTACCGGCAGCAGCCTGGGGAACTTGATCCTGTCCGTCAAGTGCGAGGAAGCAGAGGGGATCGAGTACCTCCGGGTCATCCTTAGGTAGGGCTGTTGCGCTGCTTGAGGCCACTTCTCTTCCAGGCAGGGCTCTCATCGGTGGTGTGGGGGCTGGGATGGGACTCAGAAATACCAGACTGACCAGTCTGGTCTGGGTGCACTGGCTGACGGGGACAGGCCTGCTGGAATCCTGGGGCTGTGTCTGAAGTTGCCTAGCAGGGAGACCCACGCGCTCCACCAGTTAGCTGACAGTCAGAGGGGCATCCAGGTCTCAAGGTCACCCAGACTGTACCCCTTCCTGCCCCTCTTTCTTACAAGTCCATGGCTCTGAGGAAGACGGGAAGAAAAGTAGGGATGGTTCAGTGTGACTCATCCTGCTGAGACACAGCTCCGAGTCCTGGGAGAGGGTTCGCCAGAGTGCTGCCTGTGGTATACATCTTGCCAGGAAAGATAGTGCCCTGTGTGTTTGTTGTATGGGCTGGGTTCCCTGAGATGCACTGATGTTCACAACAGGAGCACTGATTTATAGCGGAAGCCAGGGCACCTCTCTCTGGATTGTGACCTTCTCAAGGGCAGGAGCTGGAACTGGTTTCTGTTTGGTTTAGCTAACATGTTTTGTAAAACCTCCTCTGTACCAGGAACTGCGATAGGTGTTAGAGATACCATGATGGCTGAGACTTGGTCCCTGTTCTCTGAAAGGCATATGGTTTCATGAATTTAATGTGTGTCACGGGTATGATTTTAGCAATATGCACAGGTTGCTATGGGGGCACGAAGGAATCTGTGTCTTATTTATCTCTGTCCCTGGTTGGGTGGTGCTTAGCAGAATGCTGTGAACCTGTCAGGCTCTCAATCCTTATTTGTGGAGTCTAATTGAAGATTCATAAAGGTATTTGGAAAAGAGCAATCACATTTTTTTTTCCTGCCCAAATTTTGAGATAAATATTGGAGGGAATAAGGACATATAACCCCACTTTGGGAAAGGTGGGGGTCCGTGGTTTCAGGATGTCGTCAGCACCCATCCAATCTTAGTTTGTTTCTTATCAAGAAAGGAAGCAATTTTCTCTACAGAGGTTCACTTGGCTGGAAATCATATTTGCAAGGCATAGAAGAGTCAATTAAATAGCAAGAGCCAATTTTCTGAGAGGTTAATACCTGGATCTCCATCTCCAAATAGGATTTCCAGCTAGGTGAACCTCTGTGAAGAAAATTGCTACCTTAATAAAAATCAGACCGAGACTGGGTAGCATTTTTGAATAAGATGACAATGGAATACAAAGATCTAACCCCCTTTTTCTAATACTGTATCCTCCATTAGGACTGGAAATGCTGCTTCGGGGCTGAAAGCTAAGAAAAATGCCGGGCACGCAACACGCACTTTGATGGTTTTTTGTTTTTGTTTTGTAATCTATGGGGGCAGTTAGGACTAAAAGTAGGTGAATATTGAGAGTTGAACCCCAGATTCTCTTCCTTAGAAAGCAGTGTTGTGGCCAGGCACGGTGGCTCACGCCTGTAATCCCAGGACTTTGGGAGGTCAAGGCGGGTGGATCACGAGGTCAGGAGATCGAGACCATCCTGGCTAACACGGTGAAACCCCGTCTCTACTAAAAATACAAAAAAAAATTAGCTGGGCGTGGTGGCGGGTGCCTGTAGTCCCAGCTACTCAGGAGGCTGAGGCAGGAGAATCACCTGAACCCAGGAAGCAGAGGTTGCAGTGAGCAAGGATCGCACCACTGCACTCCAGCCTGGGCGACAGAGTGAGACTCTGTCTCAACAACAACAACGATGACAACAACAACGACGACAACAACAAAAAGCAATGTCGTATGGGAATATATGAAGTTGGAGATCTAGAAGAATCCTGTCCTCTTTAGGAGTGAGAGTGAGCCCTGGAATAGACAGGGATCTTTCCACATAGAATTATTTTTGTTGTTGTGGGTCAACAGCATTGAAATCAATGCCCCAGGAAGCCCAGCAAGCTCAAATGTGGCTCTCCCAGATGGAAAGCTAGTAGGTAGGGTGGTGACGAGAAGCCGTACCCCAGCTCGGAAGTTGGGCAGTCACATCATGTACTTGGAGTGATTGCCAGGCCAAATTGGAAACCAGACATAAGAAATTGGCTCCACGGTTTAGCAGCTTTGCCAGACACAAAGAAGAAATTATCCAGAGATGAAATTCCCCTGCTGGCGGTGACTACTGTCCAAACTTCTTCCTCATTCCCCATAGGCTTCTGGATTTTTTAACGGATGTCCCAAATTTATAACAAGCAGCTCTCCAGTCTAAGATCTAAGTATTCTAACAGCCTGTGTGTGCCATGAGAGTAGCCAAGAAGAATCTACCCACAGTTTGGAGACAATGAGCCTGTGTAGATTTCTTCTGTTTCAAGTTTGGATATAAAGAAGAAGAAGTTTTATGGGTTTGTAAAAGAAGAGATTCTGCCTCTAAAAAAGCATAAACTAGTTAGAGAATAACAGAGTTTTGAAAAGTATTTACTTTTACAGAAAGCCAGGTGAATTTGAGAGATTTATTAACTTTGAATTTTCCACAAACCTCTAGAAAAAATACACACTAAGAAAGAAAAGATAGAGTGAGCCAACAGAATGGGAGGAAACAGTTGCTGGTTAAGTTAGGGAGATAATAAAATAAAAATGGACAAAAAGAATTTTAAATAGTATATGAAACAGTACAAAGCAGAATCTACTTTGTAGAAAATCCAGTTATTAATATGGGGAACAAGCTTAAGAAACTCTCACATAATTCAAAGGAAACACAACTTTAAAATGATGAGTGAGATGATGATGAATATGGAGGGTAGTGAGCAGGAATTACACATATGGATAATTGATGTTGTCAAGCTGATTGAAGACTTAAATCTGAAAATCAAAATGACTCACCCATTAACAGACAAAATCAATGAAAGGAAACTAATTGCTGGATGTACTTTGATGAAAATTTAGTATTTCATAGATATAAAGTTACTAGTAGTAGAATGGAAGCATTCCAAATAGTAAGAGAAGACAAAGAAAACACACTTTGTCTGTAGAAAAAGAAAACAAAGGAATAATAAAGAAATATGATAGAAGTGTGCGTACATATGTGATGATAATAAATATAAATGACTTAAATTCGATTGTTAACAAAGATTCTCGATTTGGGTCATCTCTCCAAAAAACCTACACAAATTGATCTATATTTTATTAAAGAAAGTAACTCAGAATATTTGAAAATTGTTAAGAAAAAAATTAGAAAAGTCAAATACAAAAAGAAAGCGGGATTGGCAATATTAATATAGAAAAGTAGAATTCAAGGCAAAAAAGCAATCAGTGTGATAAAGAGGGCTATTATCCATCTTTTCATAAAAGGTAAAATCAATAATGATATTTTATATTGTCAGTAGTATATATTATAGTATATGTATATGTACACATGTATGTAATGATTATGGAAAAATTCACAGAATACAATTGTAATGGTAGATTTTTAACACACATCACTTGACATATCAATACTAGGGTTAGAAATGACATTTATTCATCTCAATATCAATTATATACATATTTTTCTTTATCTATCTATCTATCTATATATATATATATCTGTTTCTGTATCTAACTATCAGACTTTGATCCTCTAACAGATTTTACTTCTTTTCAATTGCCTTTGGAATATTTACACAAATTGATTGCATAGTAGATCAGTGGTTTTCTGTGGACCTGCTACATCAGAATCATTTTGGATCTTTAAAACAAAGTAAAACAAAGCAAAAACAAACAAAAAAGCCCAACAAACAAAAACCAAAACCTAGACTTCTAGGCTCCAACCCAACCATTTGAAACACACACACACACACAATAAATAAATAAATAAGATATGTAAAGATGTGTAAATATATATATTCTTTTTTTTTTTTTTTTTTTTTTTGAGATGGAGTCTTGCTCTGTTGCCCAGGTTGGAGTGCAGTGGTGCAATCTTGGTTTATTGCAACCTGCAACTCCCAGGTTCAAGCAATTGTCCTGCCTCAGCCTCCCAAGTAGCTGGGACTACAGGCTCATGCCACCACACCTGGCTAATTTTTTTGTATTTTCAGTAGAGATGGGGTTTCGCTGTGTTGGCCAGGCTTGTCCCGAACTCCTGACCTCAGGTGATCTGCCCTCCTCTGCCTCCCAAAGTGCTGGGATTACAGGCGTGAGTCACCGCGTCTGGCCTAAATATATATATTCTTATTTCCTTCCTTATTTCCACAGGATTCTGTAGAATTCTGTAACTTGCTTCTCTTAACAATGTATCTTAGAGATTTTTCCGTATTAGCATATAGAGAATGTCTTAATTTATTTTACTGCTGGATGGTATTCCATTGCATGGATGTGAAATAATTTATTTAATACATCCCCTGGGCCGGGCATCGTGGTTCACGCCTGTAATCTCAGCACTTTGGGAGGCCAAAGCAGATGGCTCACCTGAGGTCAGGAGTTTAAGACCAGCCTGGCTAACATGGCAAAACCCTGTCTCTACTAAAAATACAAAAATTAGCCGGGCGTGGTGACATGCACCTGTAACCCTAGCTACTCGGGAGGCTGAGGCAGGAGAATCACTTGAACCCGGGATGCGCAGGTTGCAGTGAGCCGATTTGGCGCCACTGCACTTCGGCCTGGGCGACAGAGTGAGACTCTGTCTCAAAAAAAAAAAAAAAAAAAAAAATAATAATAATACGTCCCTTGTTAATGACCATTGCCAATATTTTGGTAACACAATAATGATTAAATGAATAACCTTGTGCAGACTCAGTTTTTATGGATTATGATAGTTTCTCAGATGAGATAGCTAGGTTAAAACATAAATGCATTTGTATTTTGATAGATAACGTTAAATTGCCCTCTGTAGGGGCTGTGTAAATTCCAACTTTCACCAGTAATGTATCAAAGTGCTTCTTATTCCAAAGCCTCTTCAGTAGAATGTATTGTCAAACACTTGGATTTTTGCCCGTCTGATAGATGAGAATAGTATTTAGTGTTGTTTAAATTTATAATCTTAATATGAATCATGTTGGACATCTCTTCATATATTTAAGAACTGCCTCTATTTATTTGCTATGAACAGTTTATAAGCTTTGCTTCTTTTTAAATTGGGCTGTTATTTAAGATTCTATTTTTTAAAATCTTGGCTAGGCACAGTGGCTCATGCCTATAATCCTAGCACTTTGGGAGGCTGAGGCGGGAGGATCACTTGAGCCCAGGAGTTCAAGACCAGCCTGGGCAACACAGGGTGACCCCATCTCTTAAAAAAAAAATTAGCTGGGTGAAGTGGCACACACCTGTGGTCCCAGCTACTCAGGAGGCTGAGGCAGGAGGATTGCTTGAGCCTGGGAGGTCGAGGCTACAATGAGCCATGATTGTGCCACTGCACTACAGCCTGGGTGACAGAACAAGACCCTGTTTTTAAATAAATAAACTAAATCAATCAATCCATCAATCAGTCGACCTATGTAACTAACTTACTTGTAGGTAATTATCGATAGCAGCTATAATTAGGAACTTCTGAACCACAAAGTAAAACTAAATACATTTCAGAGAGCAAGCTCTCTGCTGGATGTATTCACTTACAATTTGATGATAAAACTAGCAATTAATAACAAAATAATGATTTAAAAAAACCACTAAACCACTGAGAAGTAAACAATCCCAATACTTTCTTAAGTAGCTTTTAGGCCAAAGGGAATAGAAGCTGCAGTTACAGAATATTTATAAAGTAATGACATTTATAATACTATACATAAAACCTATGGGTTGTATTCAAAGCAATACTTAGAAAAAAATTTATTACCTTAAATGGTTTCCTATTAAATAAGAAAAAGAACTGGCAGGTGTGTTGGCTCATGCCTGTAATCCCAGCGTTTTGGGCGGCTGAGGCAGGAGGGTCACTTGAGCCCAGGAGTTCGAGACCAGCCTGAACAATAGAATGGACCTCATCTTTACAAAAATAAAAATAATAATAATACAGTAAAATAAAAATAAGAGTGATATTTGCAAGTTGTTATTATTGTTAGCAACTTCTCTGTGTCTCATTTTCCTCATCTGTGAAATGATGATGGTAGCATGTACCTTGAAATTATTGAGTGCTTACATGTCCTGGTGAGTGAGGACCTTACATGCTGCAGCTGCTCAGTAATGGTGGCTATTATTATTATCAATATTGTTACCTAAAGAAAGCCAGAGGAAGGAATTCACAAAGATTAAAGCAGAAATAAATAAACTAGAAATAAAAATAATTTGAGACTTGATAAACCTAGGTTTCTTTTGGAAGAAGCAATAAGATAGGTAACTAGCTAGTCGAATATAGATGAGAAGAGAAAATAAGAATATACAAAATTAGTCATAAAAAGATGCATGACCACAGATGTGAAGAAGATTAAATGATTACTAATGGATGCTGTGTTCAACTCATGCTATTAAATTGCTTCTGTTTCTAATTTTATTTGAAATTTTATTTGAAACAGATGCCTTTCTAGGAAAGTATGCCAAATGTAACTTAAGATGAGGTAAAAAAGAAACCTGAACAAACCGGTAACTGTGGAAGAAATTGAAAAAGTTCTCAAAGAATTATCTCTTCAAATGTTTCTAGATCTAGATGGTCTTGCAGGAAGGTGTTTTAAACTTTAAAGGAGCAGATTTTATGTTATTTAAACTGTTCAAGAGAAAAGAAAAAAAAATATGGAAAGCTTCCCAATTAATAATGCTTAAAAGAGCTTTATGGGCTGGGCACGGTGGCTCACGCCTGTAATCCCAGCACTTTGGGAGGCCAAGGCGAGTGGATCACCTGAGGTCAGGAGTTCACGACCAACATGAGTGAAACCTGAAATGAGCCTGGCCAACATGGTGAAACCCTGTCTCTACTAATAATACAAAAAAATTAGCTGGGCGTGGTGGTGCACACCTGTAATTGCAGTGAGCCGAGCTTGTGCCATTGCACTACAGCCTGGGTGACAAGAGTGAAAGTCCTTCTCAAAAAAAAAAAAAAAAAAAAAGGATCTTTTTGAATAAAATCAGTCAAATGAGATGCAAAAAAAGGGTAGGGGCCAATATTCCTTACGAATGTAGAAATCAATGTTGTAAATAAAATAGCAGCCCCAGAAACTCAAATCTAAATAGACTAATAAGAGTAATTCACTATAGCCAAGAAAGAGTTATTTTACCAATGCAGGATGGTTAATATTAGGAAATTCATTCAGTGTTTGTTTACCCAAGGCTTAATATATGCCGGACTTTGTCTGGTTGTAGAGATACTGTGAGGAATGAGTTCTTGCTACTTGCCCATAGAAGGCATTCAGTCCAAATGCACTGCGTTTTAGAGATTCTTGTTTCTGTTCTCGGTCTTACTCATCATCTTCTTCTTAGGGACAGGGATCATTATAGGCTAGTGAGGCTGATGGGAGACGTAGGTGGTGAGGGAGAACTGAAGGCAATGTGGAGGGTGTGTCTGAGTGTGTGTAGGGTTGATAAATGATGCTAGAGAAGTAAGAAAAGGCTAGATCCTGTACCAGTGATGTTTAGGAGCTCAGATTTTATCCTAAGAGTCATAGGAGAGGTACTGAAGGGAGAAGGTCATGATCAGATTTGCACAGTAGAATGATCACTCTGGCGCCGGGCGTGGTGGCTCACTCCTGTAATCCCAGCACTTTGGGTGGCCAAGGCAGGTGGATCACCTGAGGTCAGGAGTTCGAGACCAGGCTGGCCAATGTGGCGAAACCCTGTCTCTACTAAAAATACAAAAACTAGCCAGGCGTGGTGGTGGGTGCCTGTAATCCCAGTTACACAGGAGGCTGAGGCAGGAGAATCCCTTGAACCTGAGAAGTGGAGGTTGCAGTGAGCCGAGATCACACCACTGCACTCCAGCCTGGGTCACAAGAGCAAGAATCCTTCTCAACAAACAAAAGGAAAACAGTAAAATTGTTGGAACTCAAGAAATAATTGTAGAAATAAACAACAACATGGGATAAAATCTAGTCTGTTTAAATAATGAATTTATGAATTGGAAGATAGACCCAAGGAATTCCTCCAGAACACAGCACAGATCAAGAGATGAAGTATATGAAAAAGAAGATATGTGGATAATAGACTGGGAGGCCCCAGCATGTGTCATAAAGACGTTCCGGAAGGAAAGAATAAACTAGTGAACAAATATCCACAAAAATATTAGATGAGAATGTTTCAGAATTGAAGAAACCACACACCGTGCTGCTGAAAGTGATTTAAAAACAAAACAATACTTCTAGACATGCTGAAGTGAAACATCAGAAATAAAAGATTTTAAAAATTTAAAAGAATTTTAAAAGCTGTCTGAGGATACAGACAAGATAATCTATGATCTAATGAGAACTAGGATGAAAATAGATTTCTCCCTATCCATGATAGTTGTTAAAGACAATGGGGCAATATCTTTCAAGTGTTTAAAAAAAGAAAGAAGGGGCCGGGCGTGGTGTCTCATGCCTGTAATCCCAGCACCTTGGGAGGCCAAGGCGGGCGGATCACGAGGTCAGGAGATCGAGACCATCCTGGCTAATACGGTGAAACCCTGTCTCTACTAAAAATACAAAAAAAAAAAAAATTAGCTGGGCGCAGTGGCAGGCGCCTGTAGTCCCAGCTACTTGGGAGGCTGAGGCAGGAGAATGGCGTGAACCCAGGAGGCGGAGCTTGTAGTGAGCCGAGATAGCGCCACTGCACTCTGGCCTGGGCGAAAGAGCGAGATTCCATCTCAAAAAAAAAAAAGAAGGAAAATAACCCTCAACCTAAAATTCTATACCTAGAAAAGCCAAAGACAAAATAAAACTGCTTTCAGACATAAAAAAATGGAGGGAATGTCCCACTCGGGCTCTTTCTGAAAGAATTACTGAAGGATACACTTCAGTCAAAAGAAAAGAAAAACCAGAAAAGATTTAATTAGAAAGTGACAAGAAATAGATAAAATATGTTGATAAATTTAATTACTGATGGTAAAAAGTGGGATTTTTTTTTTTGCATGTTTAAAAGGAGGCTTGAACTAAATTTATAAACAAAAGTAGCAAGGACAATGGGAAGGAAAAAATGTTCAGTGGATAAAAGCATACTCTGTTGTTGCTTATTTGTGCCCCTCAGGAGAGAGAATACAATCTTAGAGTTTGATGAAAAAAATATAAATAGGTGTATTGGAAGATACAGAAATACAGTCTATAGCAAATTAGTAGGAGATAAAAGGAGGATTAACAAAAAGAAAGCAAAAAACAAAACATCAATTGAAGGTAGGAAAGGAAGAGAAAAAAAGGAAAGAAAACACAGGGAACAGAAAATATAAAATGATGGTTTAGAAATAATTTCAGGCCAGTCACGGTAGCTCACGCCTGTAATCCCCACACTTTGGGAAGCCAAGGTGGATGGATCACCTGAGGTCAGGAGTTTGAGACTAGCCTGGCCAACATGGCGAAACCCCATTTCTACTAAAAATACAAAAAATTAGCTGGGCGTAGTGGCATGTGCCTGTATTCCCAGCTACTCAGGAGGCTGAGGCAGGAGAATCACTTGGACCTGGGAGGCAGAGGTTGCAGTGAGCTGAAATTGCGCCACAATACTACTCCAGCAGGTGACAGAGCAAGACTGCGTCTCAAAAAAAAGAAAAAGAAAAAGAAAAAGTTTCAAATATGATAGTAATTGCAATAAGTATAAATAGATTAAATTAGCCTATTACAATACCAGCCTATCAAATTGAATTAAAAATATAGCTATATTCTGCTTATAAGAGACATACCTAAAGAAAAATGGTGTGGAAAGATTTAAAATAAAGGAATGGAAAAAGATATGCTGGGAAAGTACCATGAACGTTGGTATAGCAATAGTAATATCAGACAAAATAGAATTTCAGGACAAAAAGACTAGGGATAATGTACTCCTTTGTAACCTGGAATACTTCTTCCCCACTCCTGATGTTTCCTGTGGCTAGAGGGAATACTTTGGTGTAACACCCGGGCTCTCTTCACCCTCCCTGATGGGCGTGTTTGGGAGCAGGAACTCACGTGTGTAGCTGTGTTCCTTCCCCCTTTTCCTCTTGGACAGAGCTGCCCTGAGGGTGGTCTCCTGTGCAGTTAAGTCTCACCTGAGCAGCTCCATGGGAGGGGGCTTGCCCCTGGCCCGCACTGCCTGTGACTGGGTGGGTAAGTTGGGCTGATTCTGGTATTTAGTTAGACCCGTTTCATCTTCACACTAAGCCGTGTGCTCCCACGTGGTGGAGTGATTTTGACTCCGAACACCTTACTCTGTTGTTTGTTTGCTTTTGAATTTGTTCAGAAACTGGGCAGGGAAAGAGTCCTTTTTCTAGGTCCCCCAGAGGCCTTGGCCTGTGTGATTATAAAGAGGGCACGTTCTGTTTTTCATCACCCTGATGTTCCGTGAACACGCTCTGTTCACCCGGAATATCTAACAGTCATTAACTTGTACTTAATAACGTCGTCTTGAATTTTAAAAAGCAAAACTGAGAGAAATAGAAGGAGAAGTGGATAAACACTGAGTTATAGTGGGAGATTTTGACAACATTGCTGAGAACCCGGTGGATTGAGCAGGCAAAAAATTGTGAGGCTATGGAAGACTTGAAAGATACAGTTAACAAATTTGATCTTGGCTAACATGTATTCTTGCTCTTAGCAAAAGAAAAAAATACATTTTTTCAAGCTCACATGGAGTGGCAAAAAGTAAAAGTCCATGTATTAAAGTCAACACATTTCAAATAATATCATTTAGATTGTGTTCCTTGAATATAAGACAAATTATCAACAATTAAAATACTGGAGGGGAAAAAATCTCATATTTGGAAAGTTAAAAACTTTAAAAAATGACTAATGGACTAAAGAGGAAATCACAAAAGAACTGACAAAATATTTAGAACTAAATGACAGTGAAGATACTGTGTATCAAATTGTGTGGGCTGCAGTTGAAGTGGTATTTAGAGAGAGATGTATAGTTCTAAATGCACTTTAAAAAAAGATTAAATGAGTAAGTATGTAGGTCAGGAAGCTGGAAAAAGAGTAGTTGAAAAAACTCTGAAGAAAATAGAAGGAAGGAAATAAAAAAGACAAGAACCGACTAGTGAAATAGGAAGCAAAAATAAAAAAGGATAGAGATGGTAAAAGAAAAAACTCAGTCTTACTAGATCTTACTAGTCTTTCAAAAGACTAGTAAGATCGATAAACCTCCAGCTAAAACTGATAAGGGAAAACAAGGAAAAGATACAAACAGGCCAGGTGTGGTGGCTCACGCCTGTAATCCCAGCACTTTGGGAGGCTGAGGCGGGTGGATCACCTGAGGTCAGAAGTTCAAGACCAGCCTGGCCAACATGGTGAAATCCTGTCTCTACTAAAAATACAAAAAAATTAGTCAGGCGAGTTGGCGGGCACCTGTAATTCCAGCTACTCGGGAGGCGGAGGCAGGAGAATCACTTGAACCTGGGAGGCGGAGGTTGCAGTGAGCCGAGATCCAGCCTGGGCAACAAGAATGAAACTCCATCTCAAAAAAAAAAAAAAGAAAAAAAGAAAAGAAAAGATACAAATAGTATTACAGCAGTAAAGGTGAGGACGCAGTTAGAAACAAAGATGAAGTCTTCAGAGAATACCAAAAACAACTTTGTATCAATGTGCTTAATGAATGCTTTTATATAAACATATAAATTTCCAAAATTGACTCAATAAGGAGTAGAAAACCTAAACATTCACCACTAAAGAATTTGAATTAGTACGCAAAAGTATCCTCCTATAAAAACAGCAGGCCCAGAGATGTCACAGACTAGTTTTAGCAAACCTTTAAGGAATGAGAAAATCTCTTTATTATACAAACTATTTCAAAGGATCAAGCTGGGCGTGGTGGCTCACATCTGTAATCCCAGCACTTTGGGAGGCCAAGGTGGGTGGATCACTTGAGGTCAGGAGTTGGAGACCAGCCTGGCCAACATGGTGAAACCTCGTCTCTACTAAAAATATAAAAATTAGCTGGGCGTGGTGGCGCATGCCTGTAATCCCAGCTACTCGGGAGGCTGAGGCAGGAGAATTGCTTGAACCCGGGAGGCAGAGGTTGCAGTGAGCCGAGATTGTACCACCGCACTCCAGCCTGGGCGACAGAGTGAGAGACTCCGTCTTAAAAAAAAAAAAAAAAAAAAAAAAAAGATGAGAAGCAACCCAGCAATTTTATAAGACTGGAATAACACCTTGATATCAAAACCTGGCAAGGGAAGCACAAGAAAATAAAAAATAGGCCAGTGTTGCTTTTGAACAGAGCTGTGAAAATCTAAATAAAATACAGTAGTCTCCTCATATTCATGGGGGAAATATTCCAAGACCCCCAGTGGATGCCCAAAATGTCAGATAGTCCCAAACCTGATTGCCGTCAATGGAAACACATCTGTTTATATCTTTCACCCACACATGTCATCCTCTTTTCACCTTAACTAAGCATTTATGCACTGTGGGCATAACTTTTGCAGTTTGAGGTCCAACAGCAAAACTAGCAATAATTTCTTTTTCCTTCTTCACAATTTCACACATAGAAAATTCATCCGTACCATGGATCTCAGCAACCTTAGCATAGAATTTTTTTCTTTCCTTATTAAGAACTTTCACCTTTCGACTTAAAGGAGGCACTTAACAGTTTCTCTTTGTCATATCCAAAGTGCCAGCCTCACTCATGGGCCTTGTACTTTGGGGCCGTTATTAGTATGATAAGGATGAGGGTGGCTTGAACACAGGCGGTGAGATACTGCAACAGTCCCTCCGATCACTGAGATGGCTGATAAGTGACTGATGGGTAGGGAGCGTGTAGGGCGTGGGTATGCTGGACAAAGGGAAAATTCATGTCCCGGGTGGATAGAGTGGGATGGTGGAAGATTTCATCATGCTATTCAGGACGGCACAAAATTGAAAACTTATGAATTATTTCTGGAATTTTCCATGTAATATTTTTTTGGCCGTGGTTGACTGCAGGTAGCTGAAACTGGGGAAAGCAAAACCGTGGATAAGGGGGACTGCTGTATTAATAAATTGACTTCGGCCGGGTGCTGTGGCTCACCCCTGTAATCCCAGCACTTTGGGAGGCGGAGGTGGGTGGGTCACCTGAGGTCAGGAATTCGAGACCAGCCTGGCCAACATAGTGAAACCCTGTCTCTACTAAAAATATAAAAAATTAGCTAGGCATGGTGGCAAGCACCAGTAATCCCAGCTACTTGGGAGCCTAAGGCGGGAGAATCTCTTGAAACCGGGAGGCGGAGGTTGTAGTGAGCCGAGATCACGCCATTGCACTCCAGCCTGGGCAACAAGAGCGAAACTCTGTCTCAAATAAATAAATAAATAAATAGGCAACAAGAGCGAAACTCTGTCTCAAATAGATAAATAAATAAAAAAAATAAAAAAATTCAGGATATTAAAAATAATATGTCAGAAGTAAGTGGAGTTTTTACCCATGGAATCAAAAAACGGCTCAACAGAAATGTAATTCACCAGGTCAACAGATTAAAAACCATATGGTTATCTCCTCAGATGCAGAAAAGCATTCAGTAAAATCCAGCATTTTCATAATGTGCTGAATGAATCAGGGGATCAGGCTAAATTTAGACCCTCATGGTGAATCCCTTTATGAAGCAGATTCCATCCCATTTATATTTTGAGTAAGCCCAGATTTTGAAATACTAGGTTTTCTTTTCATAAAGGTTTAATTTCATGACGAAACCCAAATATATCCAGAAGCTGTGCTCAGTTCTTTGGGAGAACACAAAAACCTCCAAACAAACCAAAAAATAATGGCATCCTTATTTGCATTTCCCGTATTTCAGTGGCAGACAGATATATCAGGCGTGTTCTGTTTTTTTTTTTTTTTTTTTTTTTTGAGACAGAGTCTTGCTCTGTCACCCAGGCTGAAGTGCAGTGGCACAATCTCGGCTCACTGCAACCCCCACTTCCTGGGTTCAAGCGATTCTCCTGCCTCAGCCTCCCAAGTAGCTGGGATTACAGGCACCCACCACCGCGCCCAGCTAATTTTTGTATTTTTAGTAGAGACGGGGTTTCACCATATTGGCCAGGCTGGTCTCGAACTCCTGACCTCGTGATCCACCCTCTTTGGCTTCCCAAAGTGCTGGGATTACAGGCATGAGCCACTGCCCCCAGCCAGGTGTGTTCTTTAAGTAGCCACCTCCCCAGCATGCCTAAGTAGGATTCCGTTTTCCCACAAGGCAAGTGTGATGTGTGGTTGGGCCACCTGAGGCCGATCTGGCCTCAGAGAATCCTGAAGCCAGTGTCCTATGTGCTGTGATCTCGGCCACCTTCCTCTTGGACTGTTTCTTTCCTTTTCTTCTTTTTTTTGAGGTGGAGTCTCACTCTTGTTGCCCAGGCTGGAGTGCAGTGGTACAATCTCGACTCACTGCAACCTCCGTCTCCCGGGTTCAAGCGATTCTCCTGCCTTAGCCTCCCAAGTAGCTGGGATTACAGGCATCCGCCACCACGTCTGGCTAATTTTTTTGTATTTTTAGTAGAGACTGGGTTTCACCATGTTGGACAGGCTGGTCTCGAACTCCTGACCTCAAGTGATCTGCCCTCCTTGGCCTCCCAAAATGCTGAGATGACAGGCACGAGTCCCCGCGCCCTCACTGACTGTTTCTTAGGGATGTCCTTTTTTCTCCCGTCTTGTGCAGGTCCAAACTGAAGACGGTACATGAGCGGATCCCCTTGGCTGGACTGAGCAAGCTTCCCAGTGTCCCTCAGATTGCAAAGGTGAGAAACCAACCCGTGAGAGATGGTGGCTTCCTCTCTCAGCCCAGGGCTGGCCTCTGGAATGGGGGTGCAGGTATATCCTGGGTAGGCTCAGCCCTTAGAGAAGGGGAGGCCACTTTACTCTTTGGCCATTGACTGCACTGATAGGGGTCTGGGAGGGCTGTGGGCAGATGCCTCTGTCTTTCCTACGCCCTCCATAGCTCATCCTTGTTGCCGAGGCTGCTTAGGAACAGTATCCTCCATGGTCTCTACTTCCAGGTAGTTCACAGCTAGTTTGGGAAGTGAGAGAAGTAGAAAGACGGGGCTGGATGTGGTGAGTGCTGTAGGACTTCCGTGGAGGGGTGAGGGCGGGTGGCCTGGGGAACCTTCACAGCAGAGGAAAGGGCTGAGTTGGGCTGAAGGATGATCCAGATTGAGCACCCCCTTGAGTAAGGAGGCTGCGAACCTGAGAACTGAGTTAGCAAAGTGGGTGAGCAAGAGAGTCAGCTGGGTTGGTTGGACCCTCACTCTGGGAGCAGGAATGTCACAGAATTGTGCTGGAAACCTTTGGTGGCAGTTGTGGGCTGGATAGTTTTTGGCCTTGTCTTCAGGCCAGAACGGTGACGAGCCTCAGGCTTTGTCTAATCCCTTCCCACACTTCATCAGCAAACCCCAGAAAGGGCGGTTGACTTGCCTGGGCACGTGTTAGTGAGCAGCAGTCAGAATCCCCGCCCAGGCCTCCTGACCCATGTGCCTCGCCCTCCCATGCCGCATTGTCCAGGTGGGCAGAGGAGCCCAGATGTCCTCTACAGATATCATCCCTGACCTGCGTCTTCTTCTCCCTTCTCAGGCTTTCTGTGATGATGCAGTGGGACTGAGATTCAATCCTGTCCTGTACCCCAAGGTAAGGACCTTCATGCTCCCAACATAGGGGCCCTGCAGCTTGGCAAGGATTTGCAGACCTGTGGCTCTTTGGGGAGTTCTCTGCATCATAGTGGGGTTTCGTGGGGTCTCCATAATAAGCTTCCATGTCTCCCTCTCTCCCTGCCCACCCCTTCACAAACTGCTCCACTGGGAACCCAACCTCAGCCATGCCTAGGTCTCCAGCCCAGCTGAATTGGTCCCCAGGCTGCTGTGAAGGTGACAGAGGGTAGCAGTGTTGTAGCTTCTCCACCACACCTCATTGGTACCTCCCTGAGGCCAGTGCTGGAGGTGGACGTGACTCTGTAGCTGGGGGCTGGTGCAGATCCAGTCTGCTGTCACAGAGGGGCGGGAAGTACAGCAGGCAGACACCAAGAAGAGAAAGGCCAGACAGCCGCCCCGCCATTGCCTGTGTTACTGCAGCTCTCCGGCCATATAAGCCTCTGCTGCCTTCATTTATAAACCAGCTGGTTTTCTGATATCAGCTTCCTTTGAATTGGCCTGATACTGACCCCAGTTCTGATATGGGCGTGTGAGTGGGAAGAAGAGCAATAATAATAAACCCACTGAGGAATAATTATGGCACAAGAGGACTGAAGTCACCCATGGACAGTGAATTGCTTGAAATTGGCCACAGGAAAAGACCCAGTGCATCGACTGCGTCTTCATGGGCCAGCAGGCTCTGGAGAGGGACAACGGAAGCAGAGCTGTGCTTCTGAGCTTCTGCCGTGGGTCACGCTGCAGCGGCTGAGGCCTGCTGGGACCGGCTCTGTCTATCCTCTGAGTCCCAACTCTGACAACCAGGACCCGTGAGATGAAATGTCTGGTGAGGAAGAGAGGCCCCATTCCAGCAGAGACATCCAGAATCCCCTGGAACAAACACTCTTTTTTTGAGACTGAGTCTCGCTCTGTCACCCAGGCTGGAGTGCAGTGGCGTGATCTTGGCTCACTGCAACCTGCACCTCCTGGTTGAAGCGATTCTCCTGCCTCAGCCTCCCAAGTAGCTGGGACTACAGGTGTGCGCCACCATGCCCAGCTAATTTTTGTATTTTTAGTAGAGACGGGCGTTTCACCATGTTGGCCAGGCTGGTCTCGAACTGACCTCAGGTGATCTGCCCTCCTTGGCCTCCCAAAGTGCTGGGATTACAGGCGTGAGCCACCTCGCCCGGCTGGAACAAACACTTTCAGTGTTCAGGATTGGGCATGCCACTCTCAGAAGCAGCCGTGTATCCATCTGCAGTGGCTGAGCGAATGGCGGAGTCCTTTCCTGCACAGAGCCTTTCGTCTTCCACGTGCCTCTGTTTAGCTGTTTTAGCATCTGTTGATACCAGGAGTATGCTACGCTTCATTGAACATTTTCTCTCATTGAGACTGACCTCCCCTTTATAATTACAACTGAATGAGTGGGGTTTAACCAGACATTAAAATCCCATCATAAAGGTCTAACTTAACTACCGGTTTGGCAATTTTGGTTGTCAAATCTTAGCCACCGAGAGGACCAATGGTGTTTATTTGCAGAGTTCTCTCTATCCCTTGGAAAGCCTCGGGCCTTGGTCATAATGGAAGAGCAGCTGTATTTTCATGTTTTCTGTATCTGAAGGACCGCTGAGTCCGGCTGGGATGTTCATCTGGCTGAGATGCACGCATGTGTGTGTTTTTAAAATTTGCAGAGTTTAGAACGTTCTTTGGACGTTCTCCATGGCCTGGTGCCTCTCCCTGGCAGGGCAGCTGTTCCTCCCCTGTGACTCACCCAGGCAGGAGTGGAGGCTCCAGGGTCGGGCAGCAGCGCCGTCGCTGGGGGAGCTGCGAAGCGTCCGTTTCCCCAGACAGCTGACAGCTGAGAGCCTCACAGAGACACACAGTGTGTGGCAACCTCACACAGGCCGCAGATTCCGGCCAATAAGTCGTTCCTGGTTTGTTCTTCCTCTCGCATAACGCGTGGTTGAATCCCTCCTTTTTTTTTTTCTTTTTTAAATGTCACATTTAATGTTTTCACCGCTGTCCTTCAAATCTAAGTTGTGCAAAGTGACCAGAAAGTGTGCCACGGTAATTGACCAGCCTCTGAGATTGAACCTTTCACACTGGTGCCTTTTTGGGCTCTTTGGACGCTAAACACGTTTCTCATTCAAGTGCGTTGACATGCTTCAGTTGGGTTGATTCTCAGGAGCGTCATAAAAAACAAAACAAAACAGAAACAAAGATATTGCGCCATCTTTGTTTAGTAATTTAATGTTTGTGTCTTTCGTAGCAAATAATTACTTCATTGAAGTTAAAACTTCCAAACATAACTTATTAATGGTCTTCAAATTCAGCTCAGATCACTCAAGTCGAAAGTACTCTGCTAAGTACAGATAATTTAAAATAGCTTTAACAGTTAATTGTCCATAACACACACCAAGGTTTTTTTCCTAGACCAACTGTAAGACGATCCATTACTATTCCTTGTACAGGTGAAAAATGATACTCAGTTTTCTTGTCTTTTTATTTTTAATGTAAAAGTTGGAAGGGACGTTCAAATTTCAAGTCTCCACACTGAGAATCCCTCCTTTTTATTGCTGAGGTTATCCCAACAGCTCCCAGATCTTTTCTTCCCCCAGTAAGCTGGTTCAGCTCTGATATTTCTGGAGGGTCATATAGATGATGATGGTGTTGATGATGATGATAGCTGCTCTGTGCTCAGTTCTTTCTTTTTGAATCTTCATAACCACACATCTGCGTTTAACAGATGAGGAAACTCAGCTCCAGAGAAGCAGCTCACTCAAAGCTACATAGGTAAAAACAGTGGATTCAAAACTAGAGTTTAGGCTGGGCGTGGTAGCTCATGCCTGTAACCTCAGCGCTTTGGGAGGCTGAGGCAGGCGGATCACAAGGTCAGGAGTTCGAGACCAGCCTGGCCAACATGGTGAAACCCCGTCTCTACTAAAAATACAAAAATTAGCCGGTGTGATGGTGGGGGCCTGTAATCCCAACTACTCGGGAGGCTGAGGCAGGAGACTTGCTTGAACCCGGGAGGCGGAGGTTGCAGTGAGCCAAGACCACGCCATTGCACTCCAGCCTGGGTGACAGAGCGAGACTCCATCTCAAAAAACAAAAACAACAAAACCCGAAAAAACTTGGAGTTTAATTTTTCTGATCCCAGTCATCAACTCTATGATGCGTAACGGAAAATTAGATAGAACCAGGAGTCAGGTTTTAAACATTTCCTCTTTGCATATTGTATTAGGGTATGTTCCTCCTTAGCGTGGTCTCCTTAGAGACCTCTCATTTTATGCAGAGGGGACTGAAGTTTGGTCAGGAGCGGTGACTTGCTCGGACTCATGCTGCTGATTAGAGGTGGAATTAGGACTAGAGTTATCCTTGCTGACCAGTTTTGGGGTTTTGGCTTCACTTTTTACACCACAGATTCAACACTAGGGTTAAGTAAGCTGCTGGACACATGTGCCCGAGCCTTGACTGGCACATCTGGATGGGAGTGGAATGAGTGATACAGAGGTTTGGTTCCTACTGGGGAAGCCCAAGTTTTAGAAGCTAGCTGACTTTGGAGCTGCGGCCTGACTGTCTACTTATTATTTCTCTCTCTCTCCCTCCGTGTATGTGGATGTTTCATACCAGGGAACACATTCTCTCCCCAAATGGATGCTTCCCCTGCCATGTGCTTCCTCACTTGCTTCCAAATTTAACAAATGTTGATTTTTTTTTTCTTGCCACATTTTCCAGGCCTCCCAAATGATTGTGTCCTATGATGAGCATGAAGTCAACAACACATTCAAATTCGGAGTCATTTATCAAAAAGCCAGGCAGGTAAGCAGCACCATCCATACCGGTGACTGTATCCCGTGGTTTCTCACTTAGGACTCTTTTTATCCCCACCCAGAACACAGGAGTCCTGACCTGCGTTCTGAAGCATTTGGAATACAACGGTCACATTTAAGGTATGAATTAGACTGGAGGTGGCAGAACTTTCCAGCAAGGGTACTTCTTACAAAAAGGCCTGCACGTCCTTAAACAGTGATGTTTTTTTTTTTTTAATATAGCAAATTCTCATTCTTCCTGGCTGCCTCGTCTTCTACGTATTTATGGGCTGCTGGTTATAAGAAAAACCAGACTAGGTCAAGGGAATGGAGGAGCATAGGCTGCTCTCTCCTTGCCCAAATTTCTCCCCACTGGGAATTAGCTTTTTCTCCCCAAACTTGAGTGATGTGATGGAGCCAGCTGGGTGCGTCTCTTCACAACTCTGTTCCGTGACATCATGTTGGCAGCTTGAAGTCAACCATGGTGGAAGTATTTACACTATGGAAATTTGCAAACACCAGGGTTTCTATCTTCCTCCTTTGGAGAGCCAGTGACTCAAAATATGCCAGCACACCACTGCTCAGCCTCTGTGTTTTGTAGCCCTCACACGTTGCTTTGGAGTTAACTGGCCAGAACCATGTTTCTCAAAGTGTGTTTCATGAATGCGAGTCTGATGGTGTACTCTGTGAGCAAATGACCTGGGGAGGGGTTGTCACTTGTGTGGGAACCTTTTAAAGGCTTAAAGAACCCCCAAGGTAAAGGGCTCTTTATAACTTTGTTGAACTTAGTGGTTTCCATACTTACGGACACAAACTTCCCATCTTCCCTACCTCTTTCCTACCATGAACATTTATTAACATCCCAAGTAGAGGGGTTAGCTGAACACACTGTTTCCTCACCGAGACTCTTTGAGAGAAAAGTTCCACACCCATTTCATCTTTGTATCATCTAAGAGCCTAGCATAGAAATACACCTTCATATAAATACACTCCACTGTTAGGTGAGTTAATGAACGAATAAAAATGTTGGCCCTACTAATGGCAGGTTAATAGTATCTTCTGATACTATTTGTATTTTTTTGCATGATGGTATCTTTCTTGGTTAGACGACACCTGATGTTCTCATTTAGAGATATTGGCCCTTAAGAGACATGCGTTTGCTTAAAAATATTCTAATTATATGAAGAGTTTAGGATCTGCAAGACGAACACTGATGAATCTTATAAGTTAAGGGAGATTATTCAGGTAGCTACTATAATCATTTTCACATATTACATTTTTATTTTATACAGCTTTGCTAATAAAACCCCCTAATTAAAGTTCTTTGCTTGTGGAATTTACCAAAGCGGATCTTATAAGCTGATTATAATCCAATGTTCCAGCAAAGTTATAATTACTGAACATGAGCCATCCGTCTCCGAGAGGGAGTCTGTGTATTGTTTATGTACCTGATGCTGCTGTGGAGGAAAAAGCCAAGAAGATAATTTTTTTTTTTTTTTTTAAGAACCTAGGCAGATTGTTGTTTTGCAAACCTGCAGCTGGGGGACATTTAATATGAACATTTGTTGCATCAAAGCCCTATGCTGGTCTCTGGGTATAAATGAGCCTCACCTAACTCTCGTGTTTGCTGTTCACTGTGCTGTGCATGCTGGGGGATACGGTGACTAAGACCCCTCCCTGAGTGCACAGTCCAGCTCAAGGCCAGGATCAAAATAATGGCAATACTACTACTCTCAGGCTGGATGTGAATCTTGCAAGAGAAGTGCAGGTCCCACAGCACACGCTGCATTGTTTTTCTAGTGGGAGATGTAGTTTGCCTGGAAGCAGCTGCTCTTCCACAGTCTGGCCTCATGACCTGGGGCAAGTAGGACATGTGGCTAGAGTTGTGACGCCTTCATGGCATGCTATAGATCAGGGATTGGCAAACTTTTTTGGGTAAAGGGCCAGATAGTAAATATTTTTAGACTTCATGGGCCTTGGAGTCTCTGTGACAGCCTCTCAGCTTTGCCTTGGTGGTGCAGAAGTAGCAATAGACAATAGATAAATGAGTTGGCCTGTCTGCGTTCCAATAAAACTTTATCGATAAACACAGGCAGCAGGCCAGACTTGGCCCATGGGCTGCAGTTTGTTGACTCCTTCTAGAGTGCGGTGTTTCCCAGCCTTCAGACATTCACAGACCATATCCAGGATCTGTATCATAGCATTTGTTGCACCCTATGCCACTGTTAAGATCTTTATCACAATATTTTAACGAAATATTTTCTTTAAAAAGTTTTGTTTTAAACTTACATACATTTATTTTTTATTTTTATTTTTATTTTTTTGAGACGGAGTTTTGCTCTTGTTGCCCAAGCTGGAGTGCAAAGGTGTGATCTCGGCTCATTGCAACCTCCGCCTCCCGGGTTCAAGCAATTCTGCCTCAGCTCCCTCGAGCAGCTGGGATTACAGGCAGGCACCACCACGCCCAGCTAATTTTGTATTTTTAGTAGAGACGGGGTTTCACCGTGTTGGTCAGGCTGGTCTCGAACTCCCGACCTCAGGTGATCCGCCTGCCTTGGCCTCCCAAAGTGCTGGTATTACAGGGGTGAGCCACTGCACCCAGCAACATGCATTTATTTTTAAAGGAAATTTTATATCACTCCTCTAACTGGAAAACCAGTATCATGAAATGAAGGTAATTCTAAAAAAAAAATACTGTAAAAAGCAAAATAAAATTATTGAAATCTACCAGATTCTGTTGCCTGTTGAAGGCATGGAGCCCAAGTTCTGCTTTTTGTTGTTATTGTTACAATTACCTACTGAAGACATTCTCTTGAAGTGATTGGGTAGGCTAGAGTGTCTTTGTATCATCTGCCGCTCTTCATGGCAGCCTGTGCATGTTTGCAGAGCCTTCAGCTGTTTGTACATCCTGCTACTGTGGGTAGAGCCTGTTGATCAGGCAGTGTTTGAAGGCTGTTACTGTTTGCAGAGCTTGCTACTGTTTTCAGCTTTGTTTTTTACAAAATTAGCCAGGAGTGGTGGTGGGCGCCTATAGTCCCAGCTACTTGGGAGTCTAAGGCAGGAGAATCACTTGAACCTGGGATGCAGAGGTTGCAGTGAGCCGAGATCGTGCCATTGCACTCCAGCTGGAGCAACGAGCGAAACTCCATCTCAAAAAAAAAAAAAAATTACTAACCTTTTTATCTTTAGGTATTTGTAGATTCACATAGAGTTGTAAAAAATAATACAGCGAGATCTCATGTACCCTTTACCTACTTTCCCCGCAAAGTAATGTCTGACAAAACGATAGCACAATACCACAACCAGGATGTGGACATCAATCTCCCAGCTCCAGTCCGTAACCCCTGACAACCACTCATCTGTTCTCCAACTTCTAAAACATTGTTATTTCAAAAATGGTATATAAATGTAGTCATATAGTGTATAACCACTTGAGATTGGCTTTTTTCCAGTCAGCAAGATTAATCCAAGTTCTTGGGTGTATCAATACTGTGTTCTTTTTCATTGCTGAGTAGTACTCTGTGGTATTATAACTGTACCACAGTTTGTGTTTAACCATCACCCACTGAAAGACATTTTTGGCTATTATGAATAAAGTTGCTGTGAACATCTGTATATAGGTTTTTGTGTGAACATAAGTTTTCATTTCTCTGGGATACATGCTTAGGAATACACCTGCTGAGTTGTATGGTAATTATGTGTTTAGTTTTGTAAGAAACTGCCGGCCGGGCGCAGTGGCTCACGCCTGTAATCCCAGCACTTTGGGAGGCCGAGGTGGGCGGATCACGAGGTCAGGAGATTGAGACCATCCTGGCTAACACGGTGAAACCCTGTCTCTCCTAAAAATACAAAAAATTAGCCAGGTGGTAGTGGGCGCCTGTAGTCCCAGCTACTCGGGAGGCTGAGGCAGGAGAATCGCTTGAACCTGGGAGGCAGAGGTTGCCGTGAGCCGAGATTGCACCACTGCACTCTAGCCTGGGTGACAGAGTGAGACTCCATCTCAAAAAGACTCTGTCTCAAAAAACAAAAACAAAACAAAAAAAAAACTGCCAAACAGTTTTCTAGTGTTTCTTCTCACCAGCAGTGTATGAGTGATCCAGTTTCTCTATAACCTGCCAGCATTTGGTGTTGTGACTGTTTTTTATTTTAGCCATTCTGATAGATGTGTAGTGGTATCACCTTATGGTTTTAATTTGCATTTCTCTAATGGTTAATGATGTTGGACATCTTTTCATGTGCTTATTTGCCATCTGTATATCCTCTTAGGGGAAATGCCTGTTCATGTCTTTTTTTTGAGACAGAGTCTCACTCTGTCACCCAGGCTGGAGTGCAGTGGTGTGATCTCTACTCACTGCAACCTCTGCCTCCCGGGTTCCAGCGATTCTCCCACCTCAGCCTCCCAGGTAGCTGGGACTACAGGCACGTGCCACTATGCCCAGCTGATTTTTGCATTTTTAGTAGAGACTGGGTTTTGCCATGTTGGCCAGGCTGGTTTCGAACTCTGGACCTCAAGTGATCCACCCGCCTCGGCCTCCCATAGTGCTAGAATTGCAGGCGTGAGGCACCGCGCCCGGCCGTTTTCATGTCTTTTGACCATTTTCTAAATGGATTTTTTTTTTTAACTGTTGGGTTAAAAACATTTTTAAAAATAACAGCTTTATTGAGCACATCAGCATAATTCTTGTACCATATAATTCATAATGTTATGTAATTTATATCTCAATGAAGTGTGCAGTTCAGTGGTTTGTAGTGTAACCACAGAATCGTGCACCTGTCCTCACTAACTCCAGACATTTTCATCACCCCCAAAAGAAACCCCACACTCACCAGCAGGCACTCCCCATCCCCCTTTCCTTTAGTTCCTGCCAACCCTAATCTAATTTCTGTCTCTACAGATTTGCCTATTCTAGACCTTTTATAAATGGAATCATCATATGTGGCCTTTTGTGTCTGGTTTCTTTCACTCAGCGTAATATTTTCAGTGTTTATCCAGGTCGTAGTATGTATCAGCACGTTGTTCCTTGTTCATGGCCAAATAATATTCCATTGTGTGGATAGCCCACATTTTGTCTATCTATTCATCAGATGGACATTTGGGTTCTTTCTCCTTTTGGGCCATTATGAATAGTGCTGCTATTGATATTCATGCATACATTTTCTGTGGACATGTTTTCATTTCTCTTTGGTGTATACCTGAGAGTGAAGTTGCTAGATCATATGGTGACTCTATGATTAGCCTTTGGTATATACCTCAGAGTGAAGTTTCTGGATCATTTGGTGACTCTGTTTAGCCTTTGGCACATGCCCGGGAGCAAAGTTGCCAGATCATATGGTGACTCTGCGTTTAGCCTTTGGTATATGCCTGGGAGTGAAGTTGCCAGATCATATGGTGACTCTGCGTTTAGCTTTCCATATATGCCTGGGAGTGAAGTTTCTGGATCACATGGTGACTCTGCGTTTAGCCTTTGGTATATGCCCGGGAGTGAAGTTGCCGGATCATATGGTGACTCTGCGTTTAGCTTTCGGGACCTGCCTGGGAGTGCTGTTGCCAGATCATATAGTGACTCTGCATTTAGCCTTTTGAGGAACTGCTGGACTGTTTTCCACAGTGGCTGCGTCATTTTCCATTTTCAGCAGCAGCGTGTGATGGTTCTGATTTCTCCACACCCTCACCAACACTTGTTATTGCCTTTTATTGCCTTTATTTTTCATTGTGGCCATCCTAGTGGGTGGGAAGTGGTATATCATTGTGGTTTTGATTACTTTAGAGTTTTCAGAGTTCTTTATTCTTTTTTTTTTTTTTTTTGAGACGGGGTCTCACTCTGTCACCCAGACCGGACTGCAATGGTGTGATCTTGGCTCACTGCAACCTCCGCTTCCCAGGCTCAAGCGATTCTCCTCTCTCAGTCTCCCGAGCAGCTGGGATTACAGGCACCCACCACCATGCCCAGTTACTTTTTGTATTTTTAGTAGAGACAAGGTTTCACCATGTTGGCCAGGCTGGTCTCGAACTCCTGACCTCAAGTGATCCACCCGCCTCAGCCTCCCAAAGTACTGGGAGTGAGTCTCCATCAGTCCCTCCTCTCTCCACCCCAGTCCCACTGAGGGCAGCTATGGTGGATGTGCTGGGAGACAGGGAGAAAGGAAGAAAGGGACCAGGTACCTGGGCATCCATATTCCTTCCTTTAGCATCAGAAAGAATTTTTCTAATTCCTGCCCTTATTCCTGTTTCTCTTTCAGACCCTGGAGGAGGAGCTATTTGGGAACAATGAGGAGAGCCCAGCTTTTAAGGAGTTCTTGGACCTGCTGGGGGACACGATCACACTGCAGGATTTCAAAGGGTGGGTTTTAGCCAAGTGACGGCTCCAGCTCCATCAACAAGGGCACTAGAGGAAGGGCAAGACAGCTCAGTCCTCAGGGAGCACGTGTGAGTTAAAAACACACAAGAAATGAGGGATGGCTTTTCAGGGTCTTGTCGCTCACTGCATTTCTAAGGAATCAGGGGTCCAAGGAGTGATCCAGTGTGGCAGATTCCCCTGAAGGCGTTCACGTTCGGCCCTGGGCCCCGCCCCAGATGTGCCTTCCTACTTACCTTTGGCCCAGACTGAGAATGGAAGGAATCCACCTTCCCTGTCACTCACCTGCCAGGTGTGTGGGAAAGGGAGCCCCGTGCAGTTTTGGGGGGAAATGACCTATTTTATTTTATTTTTTATTTTTTTATTTTTGGAGACAGAGTCTTGCTCTGTTGCCCAGGCTGGAGTGCAGTGGTGTGATCTCAGCTCACTGCAACCTCCACCTCCCAGGTTCAGGCGATTCTCCTGCCTCGGCCTCCGGAGTAGCTGGGACTACAGGCGCCCGCCAACACGCCCAGCTAAGGTTTTTGTATTTGAGTAGAGACGGGGTTTCGCCATGTTGCCCAGGCTGGTCTTGAACTCTTGAGCTCAGGCAATCCACCCACCTCAGCCTCCCAAAGTGCTAGGATTACCGGCGTGAGCCGCCGCGCCTGGCCTGAAATGACCTATTTTAGATAATACACAAAGAATGCATCATGAGGAGCTGATGCAAATATAACAGTTCCTCAGGCAGGAGTCCATACAACAGTCTATGCTTTTTTTTTTTTTTTTGAGATGGAGTCATGCGCTTTGCCAGGCTGGAATGCAGTGGTGCGATCTTGACTCATGGCAGCCTTTGCCTCCTGGGTTCAAGCGATTCTCCTGCATCAGCCTCCCGAGTAGCTGGGACTACAAGGCGCGCGCCACCATGCCTGGCTAATTTTTGTATTTTTGGTAGAGACGGGGTTTCACCATGCTAGCCAGGATGGTCTCGATCTCCTGACCTCATGATCCGCCCGTCTGGGCCTCCCAAAGTGCTGGGATTACAGGCGTGAGCCACCGTGCCTGGCTCAGTCTATGCTTTTTTAAGTGGGCAGTAAGATAGAACATTGGGGCCGTTGCTTGGAAAACTCTGGCCCTTGACTTTCCTTGGCCAAGACCGCATTTGGGATGAGTCCAGACCTGGCCAGCCTGTTTTGTCCTTGGTGGCTGGCAGATGGCTCCAGGCCCCAGAATTCTCCATCCCAGCAGCCAGATTGACATGAGCTCCTCACATCGTGTGAAAATACCTAGCCCAGTGCCTGGCACACAGCGGATATTCACTAATTGCTTTCTTCCTCTGCTTCCTTCTCTGTCCTTCCTTCTTTTTCCTTTCCTCTCTTCCTCCATCTTCTCCCTCCCTCAAGGTCATCACGGCTGTCTGGGGTCAGTCACACCTGGGATAAAACCCCCGCTCCATCACTTATTAGCTCTGTGACTTTGGATAAGTGACTTGACCTCTATAAGCCTCAGTTTCCTCACTGTAAAAAGCGAGATAAAGGGCTGGGCTCAGTGGCTCACGCCTGTAATCCCAGCACTTTGGGAGGCCGAGGTGGGTGGATCACGAGGTCAGGAGTTTGAGACCAGCCTGGCCAATATGGTGAAACCCCGTCTCTACTAAAAATACAAAAAAAAAAAAAAAAAATTAGGCAGGCATGGTGGCAGGTGCCTGTCGTCCCAGCTACTTGGGAGGCTGAGGCAGGAGAATCGCTTGAACCCAAAAGGCAGTGGTTGCAATGAGCTGAGATTGCGCCAGTGCACTTCAGCCTGGTCAATAGAGGGAGACTCTGTCAAAAAAAAAAAAAAAGGAGGTAAAGATAGTGTCAGCCCTAAAAGGTTTTGGGGGGATTAAAATAAGATAATGGGCTGAGCGTGGTGGCTCACGCCTATAACCCCAGCACTTTGGGAGGCTGAGGCGGGCAGATCACGAGGTCAGGAGATTGAGACCATCTTGGCCAACATGGTGAAACCACGTCTCTACTAAAAATACGAAAAATTAGCCGGGCGTGGTGGCACGTGCCTGTAGTCCCAGCTACTTGGGAGGCTGAGGCAGGAGAATCGCTTGAACCCAGGAGATGGAGGCTGCAGTGAGCTGAGATTGTGCCATTGTACTCCAGCCTGGGTAACAGAGTGAGACTCTGTCTAAAAAAAAAAAAATAAATAAATAAATAAAAAATAAAAGATAAGATAATGCTCACGAAACACTTAAGTGCTGTTCAGGGCTAGCTAGTCACGATTGTTATTGTTCTTATATTGCCACCTTCCATTGACTTTGAGATGCTATCATTATAAGACACATCCTGTGACTTTAAAATGTGAAAAAACGGCCAGGCATGGTGGGTCTCACCTGTAAGCCCAGCACTTTGGGAGGCCGAGGCGGGTGGATCGCTTGAGCCCAGGAGTTTGAGACCAGCCTGGGCAACATGGTGAGACCCTGTCATTAACAAAAATTTGAAAAATTATAAAAATTAGCTGACTATTGTGGTGTGCTCCTGTGGTCCCCGCTACTTGGCAGGCTGAGGCGAGGAGGATCGCTTGAGCCCAGGAGGTTGAGGCTGCAGTCAGCCATGATTACACCATTGCGCTCCAGCCTGGATGACAGAGTGAACCCCTGACTGAAACCAAAACTAAACGTGGGCCTTAGAATAGCTGAAATACAGTATAGTAAGCCCAGAAGGTCCTCAGAGTTATGAAATTCTATCCCTTTATTTTATGGAGGCCTAGAGAGACTAAATGAATTGTCCACGATCACGTGCTGATTTAGTGGCAGAAGCAGGTCTAGAACCCGGAGCTCCTGCCCCCTGTCCAGCATTCTTTCTGCCATGCCAGCCTGGGCACATTTTCTGGCTTGTATTGTAGTGTTGGGGATGCTGAGATTCTAGGTCCATCTTATTTCATTTTCTTAAAGGAACCTGCATCTGCTGAAGACTGTGATCAAAGCTGGCAGCCGTGTGTATAAAGGCAGAAGGGACAACTCCTGGAAGCCCACCCAGTTCCTTAGAGCTTTTCTTTCTTGCCTGTGAGGAGACAGCCAGAGAAGGGACTTCCCTGGATACTCCCAAGCGGGATGCTGCAGTGGTTGGGCCTGTATCTTAGGGACTAGCTAGGCAGAAGTTGAGCATCTGCCACCTCTTCTGACTGACTCCAGATGCTCCTCTGGGGCTCCCCACCAGCCACCAGGATGGCTGGCTGCCCTAGCTCTGGGCAGAGGACTTGGACATGGCCTTGCAGAGAGCAAAGAAAGGCCGGCGCCCCACCTTGGGGGAATGGCACCGGGGATGGGCATTTGTCTGGGATTGTGGATGGATGCGCTTCCTTCCCATATAACCAGCAAGTGTGGACACGGCACAGCCAAGGCTTGAGATGGAGGTTCTGCTTTGTGATTGATTGGTTGATTGATTGATTGATGGAGTCTTGCTCTTGTTGCCCAGGCTGGAGTGCAGTGGCGCCATCTCGGCTCACTGCAACCTCCACCTCCTGGGTTCAAGCGATTCTCCTGCTTCAGCCTCCTGAGTAGCTGGGATTATAGGCATGCACCACCATATCTGGCTAACTTTTGTATTTTTAGTAGAGACGGGGGTTTCACCATGTTGGCCAGGCTGGTCTCGAACTCCTGACCTCAGGTGATCTGCCTGCCTCGGCCTCCCAAAGTGCTGGGATGACAGGCGTGAGCCACTGCGCCCGGCCAGCTTTGTCTAAATAATGGGTTTGTGGGTAGAGTGCCAGCGCTGATATACCTGGAAGAACAGATCTACCTGCTTTTCCCACATCACAGCCTGCTCTGCCCTCAGCTCTCCTGTCTCCTCTGCTGCGTATCCTCTGCTGCGTATACTTAGGGGAGCTTGCATTAAGTTGCCCACTTTGCCTCACTCTCTTTTCTCCCCATCTCCTGCCCTGTTTTGTTGACAGTTTCCGAGGAGGCCTGGACGTGACCCACGGACAGACAGGGGTGGAATCAGTGTACACAACATTCCGGGACAGGGAGATCATGTTTCACGTTTCCACAAAGCTGCCATTTACCGACGGAGACGCCCAGCAGGTAACCTGGTTTGGGAGGGCTTTGGGAGCCCAGGGCGGGCGAGGTGAGGGCCTGCCTCTGGTCTGACCTGCTAAGAGGCTGTGGCCGTCCCCATATTCGTTCCCGTAGCCGGCCATTCGTTCAGCTGCGCAGCAGCGTCACAGTCCGTTCTGCTGTGTTTCTGGCCGAGGCTGTGCCTCAGCGGTCCGTTCTGTTGTGTTTCTGGCCGAGGCCACACCTCAGGGGCCCTGGGCGGGAGGCGGGGCAGAGCTTGTGTTTCTTCCACGTTGACTGATGGGAAAACTGCAGCCCATGGTGGTGACAAGACTTCCTTGAGGTTTCTCCGTTTATCAGGGGCAGAGCCCAGGGCAGAGCCTGGGGGCCCTGGTCATAGAGGGTGGTGGCAAAGGGTGCATGGTGGGGTTTGCAGATGGGGGCCTGAAGCCGCCTGTGCCACTTTGGAGCGTGTGACTCTGGGCAAGCCAGTTAACCTTCTCATCTATAAAATGGGGGGTAACACCACCCATGGTAGAGGGTGATTGTGGGGATTACATACATTTCTGACTAGGGTTCATACGATGCCCAATTCATGGCTGGCTTCCTATAGAACAGCTGTTCACTGTCCAGCCCCTGGTCATTTTGTCCCCCTTCCTGCCCCAGTGACGGAAGGCTGGTTATTGCGTGAGAATCCTTCCCCACCCCCAGCCTTCCTCATCTCACAGGCTCCTCTCTCACCACACCTGTGGGAATTCAGCCTTGACCTCCACTAGGGAGACCTGGACGAGACCCCTGTCCCCACTGCTTTCCTGCCGTGCCCCCCGTTTGCTGCTCTGACAGCCGTGCATCCCTGGGGAGAGCCGCGGCTGGTTCCTGGCTGTTACAAGCCCAGTTCCCCCAGCCTGCCTTCTGCCCCTTTTCAGTCTGGGAAAATAAGAAAATGCAGGCAGGCCTTTGCCCAAACTCTGACCTGTGTGTCTCTGAGCAGGAACTGGGGAGGGAGCACAGATGTAAAATTGTAAACATAGTGCCTGGCTTCTTAGGAAAGAAGGAAATTGGCAAACGAGATGATGAGTTGGCTCTAAAATAGCTACTGAATGTTCCAGAAACAAATGGAAGCAGAAATCCTTTTGTATCCAAAGTGGGTTTTCATTCAACCTTTCACCTCCAGCCCCTCTGTTCCCTTATGGCCTCTCTCACCTGCTGCCCCGGCCTGGGCCTGAGGCCTGTTCTCTCTGGGCCTTCTCAGTCTTATGTGTGTTTCTTGGGAAATACACCTTGGCACAGGGCTCGGCTCTTGGCGGGGACTGAGTAAATATTAAGTTTCTCTTCCTGAGAAATGGAAAGATGCGCGTGGAGTAAGTGAGGCAATTTGTGTGAAAGTGCCCAGCACAGTGCTTGGTGTAAAACAGGTGCTCAGTGAATGAGAAACTCAGTGTGAAGGGACTGAGCATTGGGCCTGCATGCAGTGGGTGCTTAACAAAGGAACAAATGCATAGACAGGCACCTAGCCAGGACTCGACATACAGGAGCGGGTTTTTGTGTGTGTGTGAGGAGGGCTGTCACTCTCTCACCCAGGCTGGAGTGCAGTGGTGCGATCATAGCTCACCGCGGCCTTGAACTTCAGGACAGGGTTAACATTTGATATCATGCATGAACAGCCCAACATGGTTCCAGGGACACACCAGGTGCTTGGTGGCCGAGATCACACCCAGAAGCACCTGGCCCTGCTTGGGATATGGAGTTATGGTTGGGATCCTCCTTCCATCCCACCTACGCCAAGCTGGGTGAGCAGTGCTGTCATGATCTGCCACCTCATCACTCTCATTCACACCTTCAAGACCCCCTGACACGTCTCCTCCTCCAGGAAGCCCTCTCAGGTTGCTTTCCAGCCCTGTAATTTTGCCCTTGCCTCTGTCTCCAGAGCTGTCAGGGATTTCATGCACAGCAGCTGACTTAGCCCTTGCTGGCTGGTGGCTTTGTTAGTTTTCTCAGGTGGCTTCACCTGTGTTTGTATTTCTCCCAGATCAATGACAGGCTCTACCAGGGCAAGACCCCGCCTTGCCTTTTAAATATTCTTGCCAAGTCCTGAGTCAGGGATCTGCATGCTGTAGAGGTCAGTAAGATGCTCGCTAGCCTCTACCTAACGACTTGGCCATCTTCCCCATTTTTTTTTTCCTTTTTGGTGGCTTCTAAAGATTGAAAGAAGGTTGGGCACAGTGGCTTATGCCTATCATCCCAGCACTTTGGGAGGCTGAGGCGGGCTGGTCAGGAGTTTAAGACCAGCCTGGCCAACATGGTGAAACCTCGTCTCTACCAAAAAATACAGAAATTAGTGGGTGTAGTGTCACGCGTCTGTAATCCCAGCTACTCGGGAGGCTAAGGTGGGAGAATCACTTGAACCCAGGAGGCGGAGGTTGCAGTGAGCCGAGATCGTGCCACGGCACTCCAGCCTGGGCAACACAGTGAGACCCTGTCTCAAAAAAAAAAAAAAAAGAAAAAAAAAAGATTGAAAGAAGAACCCCCCTGGTTTTCCCCAAATAGGAAAGCAACTCAAAAGATACACAAAGCACGAAGCGTGTTCCATGCACTTCTCCCCTTGCTGCCTGGCATTGGTACTGTGCTTTCATACTTAAACTTCCAAAACAACAACCACGAACTCTTCTCACTCAGAATTCAGTTTTCCTGTGTGCAAAGGAAAGTGAACCCACTCTTTCCCCAAAACATCTTTCATGATTTTCCTAACTGGCTTATAACCTCTCAACACTTTTTATTTAGCTCCAGAGAAAGAGACACATTGGAAATGACATCGTGGCCATCATCTTCCAAGAGGAAAACACGCCGTTTGTCCCAGACATGATAGCCTCCAATTTCTTACATGCCTACATCGTCGTGCAGGTCGAGACCCCAGGCACAGAGACCCCATCCTACAAGGTAAGGAGAACGCCTTGTTGGAGGGAGTGGTGGGCCTCGACACCTCACCCTGTGTGGATGCTGTGATATCAGAGGACACTAGTCCTCAGCAGTCAGAGATTCTCCATGAGTTTGCAGGTTTCTGGGGTTTGGAGCTAGATTCTGGGTAGGGAGGACCTTCCAAGGCCACCTGATCCCCCTTGCTGCCTCCGGGCTCAATGGCATCTCACTTGAGGATTGAGGAGGTGTGAGTGTAGTATTTGGAATTTGGTGATGCCATTTGCTCGCTGTGAGTGTAGTATTTGGAATTTGGTGATGCCATTTGCTCGCTGTGAGTGTAGTATTTGGAATTTGGTAATGCCATTTGCTCGCTGTGAGTGTAGTATTTGGAATTTGGTGATGCCATTTGCTCGCTGTGAGTGTAGTATTTGGAATTTGGTGATGCCATTTGCTCGCTGTGAGTGTAGTATTTGGAATTTGGTGATGCCATTTGCTCGAGTAAGGCAGAGCTGGAATAAAGAAAGAGCGTGGAAAGGACGAGCAGGAAAGGGTAGCGATAGAAGGGTGCTAACGAAGGAAAAAAAGAAAAAAATGTTGATGGTGAGGGTGGAGAGGAGGGGCCTGGTAGACCCTGGCCACTGGGTAAGGCCCTGGCCTGGCTGTTTTGGACAAATGATGGATCTTAATTTAAAGACCTCCAGGGAGGCAGATACGCAAGCACCTGGGTCTGAACCTCCCAAGCAGTCACGGGTCTGTCAGATGGCTCGAAATCCTCACCGGTGCAGATGACAGCGAGACAGGGCAGCTCATTGCCCCTGCAGTCCCCCGCTCCCCACTCCTCATGGCTGGATCTCTGACCCTCCCTCCTCTGCTCCACGAGAAAGAATCTCCACCTCTTGGGCAACAGTCTCTTGGTATCACAGTGCTGTGGCGGGCATGGGACTCAAGGGCGTTGGACTGAGGCAGGCTTTCAAGGCAAGGGTTAGGCAGTCTCTGACTCCCTGCAGATAAATGCAAAATGCTGAATTTGTGCCTTTCCTTGGATTCCTGAAAAGAGAGGCCATACCTTAAATTCTCAAAGCGCTCCCTGCTCCGCAAAATATCAGGAACCACTGTTCTAAGGGGGAGGAAAGATGAGCCTGTGATTGCCAATGGGTAACCATGAGGCCTGAAAATGTTTCCCGTCAAATAATTTCAGCCCATCCTGATTCCTGGGGTTCATGAGGCCACAGCAGTTCAACTCAGTTAAGTGCAAAATTCACGTCAGCTTTTAAAATGTGATGTGAATCGTCAGAAGAAAATAAAAAGAGGCTGGGCACGGTGGCGTACGCCTGTAATTCTAGCGCTTTGGGAGGCAGAGGCAGGAGGATTGTTTGAGGCCAGAAGTTCAAGACCAGCCTGGGCAACATAGCGAGACCCTGTCTCTAAAAAAAAAAAAAAACAGAACAAAACAAAATAAAACAAAACAAGCAACAGAAACCCAATAGCAACCCCCTCCTGTTGAGGCTGATTCCTTCATGCCCAGGCTCATGTGTCCCTGCCATTGAGCAGTTTTAGCTGAAGCTGGCGAAGACATGGTGTGAGCATTTATTTTCTTTTCTTTTCTTTTTGAGACAGAGTCTTGCTCTGTTGCCCAGGCTGGAGTGCAGTGGTGCAGTCTCGGCTCACTGCAACCTCTGCCTCCCAGGTTCAAGTGACTCTCCTGCCTCAGCCTCCCAAGTAGCTGGGATTGCAGGCTCCTGCCACCATGCCCAGCTAATTTTTTGTATTTTTAGTAGAGACGGGGTTTCTCCATGTTGGCCAGGCTGGTCTCGAACTCCTGACCCCAAGTGATCTGCCTGCCTCTGCCTCCCAAAGTCCTGGGATTATAGGCGTGAGCCACTGTGCCCAGCCCATTTCTTGAAGGCTATAGGATCACCTGCTTTGAGTGAAATGGGCATTCACTTCAAACAGCTGCTCGATTCAAGTGTTGGTTGAAGCAAGTTGACTTACTCAGTGCCTACTGTGCGCCAAGCTCCAGGCTGGAATGGGGCTCGTGGAGGTAACAGAATCAGCCTCAGGGCCTTCCTGATGCCGGAGAAGGGGCAGAAGAAGCAGGGAGTGCAGGTCCAAGCACCAGGCTGAAGTGGGGCTCGTGGAGGTAACAGAATCAGCCTCAGGGCCTTCCTGATGCCGGAGAAGGGGCAGAAGAAGCAGGGAGTGCAGGTCCAAGCACCAGGCTGAAGTGGGGCTCGTGGAGGTAACAGAATCAGCCTCAGGGCCTTCCTGATGCCGGAGAAGGGACAGAAGAAGCAGGGAGTGCAGGTCCAAGCACCAGGCTGAAGTGAGGCTGGTGGAGGTAACAGTATCAGCCTCAGGGCCTTCCTGATGCCGGAGAAGGGACAGAAGAAGCAGGGAGTGCAGGTCCAAGCACCAGGCTGAAGTGGGGCTCGTGGAGGTAACAGAATCAGCCTCAGGGCCTTCCTGATGCCGGAGAAGGGGCAGAAGAAGCAGGGAGTGCAGGTCCAAGCACCAGGCTGAAGTGGGGCTCGTGGAGGTAACAGAATCAGCCTCAGGGCCTTCCTGATGCCGGAGAAGGGACAGAAGAAGCAGGGAGTGCAGGTCCAAGCACCAGGCTGAAGTGAGGCTCGTGGAGGTAACAGTATCAGCCTCAGGGCCTTCCTGATGCCGGAGAAGGGACAGAAGAAGCAGGGAGTGCAGGTCCAAGCTCCAGGCTGAAGTGAGGCTGGTGGAGGTAACAGTATCAGCCTCAGGGCCTTCCTGATGCCGGAGAAGGGGCAGAAGAAGCAGGGAGTGCAGGTCCAAGCACCAGGCTGAAGTGAGGCTGGTGGAGGTAACAGTATCAGCCTCAGGGCCTTCCTGATGCCGGAGAAGGGACAGAAGAAGCAGGGAGTGCAGGTCCAAGCTCCAGGCTGAAGTGAGGCTGGTGGAGGTAACAGTATCAGCCTCAGGGCCTTCCTGATGCCGGAGAAGGGACAGAAGAAGCAGGGAGTGCAGGTCCAAGCACCAGGCTGAAGTGAGGCTCGTGGAGGTAACAGAATCAGCCTCAGGGCCTTCCTGATGCCGGAGAAGGGACAGAAGAAGCAGGGAGTGCAGGTCCAAGCACCAGGCTGAAGTGAGGCTCGTGGAGGTAACAAGATCAGCCTCAGGGCCTTCCTGATGCCGGAGAAGGGACAGAAGAAGCAGGGAGTGCAGGTCCAAGCACCAGGCTGAAGTGAGGCTCGTGGAGGTAACAAGATCAGCCTCAGGGCCTTCCTGATGCCGGAGAAGGGATAGAAGAAGCAGGGAGTACAGGTCAGCCACTGGGCAGCTGAACTACTCAACTGCTTCTTTTAATAGACAGTTGAAGAGGAAGAACTACTGGGAAGGATCCTTGGAATGAAGCCATGTGATAGGAGGGCTCCCAGACCCTCTGGCAGAACGAGGCCTCCTGTAGACGTTTAGCATTTGCTTCTCTTTCCCAATAGGAAATGCATCTCAGCTAACCAGCTTCTCCACTTTCCCGAGACCTTAGCCGAGTGGTGCACTCATACAGAGAAAAATCAGAGATCCAAAAAAGCGCCACCCCACCTCCAGCTGTGGTGCTAGAAGTCTTTACCCACTCTTCTTCTCCTTTTTTTTTTTTTTTTGAGACAGTCTCGCTGTCACCCAGGCTAGAGTGCAGTGGTGTGATCTTGGCTCACTGCAACCTCTGCCTCCCGGGTTCAAGCAATTCTCCTGCCTCAGCCTCCTGAGTAGGTGGGATTACAGGCACCCACCACCATGCCCGGCTAATTTTTGTATTTTTGGTAGAGACGGGGTTTCACCATGTTGGCCAGACCGGCCTTGAACTCCTGACTTTGTGATCCACTGGCCTCGGCCTCCCAAAGTGCTGGCATTACAGGCGTGAACCATCATGCCTGGCTGTCTTTACTCTTTCTTCTAAGCCACAAAGCACAGCATTGTCCTCAGAGGGGTGATGAGAAGCAGGGGGGCAGGGCTTCCCGGAGGAGCAGGCTGTGGTACCTTGATCGTGCACTCCACCTGCCAGGCAGACACTGAGGCTGGAAGGCCAGACGTGTGAATGAGGCCAGGGAGGGGGACCAGCCTTCCAAGGCACTCCCCAAAGCGCTGTCCATCCACACTCCCGGCAGCACCCCAGGTAATTAGCAGACTGCGAGGAGGACCCGGTTAGATCCCCCAGGGGGCCTGGGTGAAGCAGGACCTTAGCTGGCCCCTGCAGGCTCAGGGGCTGTGGCAAAGAAGGCTGAGATTTCCTCTGGGACTGAGTAAGCCCCAGGAGGCCTCCACTGGGGAGGGTGAGCTGAAGAAAGAAGAGTATAAAGGAGGGACAGGGTTGGGTGTGTGCAGGAAGGGGTCCTCTTCTGTCCACGGAGGGGCCGGGCTGCCTGGGGTTCTGGTCCTGGCACTGCCTCTGCTGCGTGACCTTGTTCCTTCCCTCTCTGGGCCTCTAGTTTTGTCTGTGTGAAATGAGGAAGTTGGATTAGACACCTGCAGGCTGCTAGCCCTGACATCCTGCGGGAGGGAAGGAGGCGTGCTTGGGTGTGTGTGTGTGTGGTGGGTTGCAAGGTGCTTTGGGGAAACTCTATTTCAGGAGCCCTTTACTGGGTGCAGGTCAGCAGGGGAAGTGAAAAGGCCACTGGGCGACAGTGGTTACCCCTTACCAGCTGCTTGCTCATGCCAGGCACGGTGCTGGGTCCTTAGACGCACAGTCTTGAATCCTGACAAGCCCCTGGTGAGACAAGACCTCTCGCTAGAGGGAGGAAATGGAAGCTGAGAGCTGAACCCACTTAAGGCCTGAGGCCACAGAGCCAGGGAGCTGTGGCTGAGGTCCTGTCTGGGTCTGCTTGCGGTCTTGGTCATTGAGCCATCAGAGCAGGCGAGAAATTGGCTCCACGGAGTCGGGTGTGCACGAAGCATCACTCTGGATTATTTTTCAGAAATGAGTGTAGTCCTCATCCTGCCTGCTTGGAAGGAAAGTCCAGCTCAGCCATCACCAGGACTACCCCTTTCCCTCCCCCCTATCCCTGCCTCCCTCTCCGGAAGTCCTCAAAGGTGTCAGGAATCTCAGGTGAAGCCCACCGCCGGGGAGGGCCCTGTCTTTGTAGCCCCCTCCCCGTTTCCCGTCACGACTTGTCTGTTGCTCGGACGATGCTCTGTGTGCCACCGCGGCTCCCAGGCCACTCTTGGGCGTGGGGCCTTTGTCACGTTTGAAGCTTTCTGAGGTTCCCAGTGCATCCTCATGACCCACACCAAGCTCCTTCCTCCTTCCAGCCATGCAGGTCCCTTCCCCAGAGTCACCTGCATCTGCCTCTCTCCCTCCCTCCAAGCCCTCGCTGGAGGCCCTCGCTGCATTTAGAAAACAGGAAGGTGGGGCTGTGTTCAGGCAACTTCTGCTTTCAGTCCAGTGACCCAGATGTCCCCAAGAGGGGGGAACAACAAAGGCCTGGCCGCCTGGTTGGAATGGGGTCAAGAGAGGCGCACAATGAGGATGGAAGGTGAACGCACGTCGCAAGGAAGGGCCCTGTCCTCCGTGTGGCCCACAGGGCTCTGCTGTGGGACTGTCCAGCTGGAGGGTTGGATGGACTTGAGGATGTGTCTGAAGCCACTTACACGGTCGGCACAGACCACTCTAATGCAGGCTGGAGGAGGAGGGGGAGTGGGGTGGGAAGGGCAGAGCTGGGGCTGCCCTCTGGCCTCTGTCCCAGGTGCCCACGGTCTGCAGTCTCCCCATAGCCTTCCCACACCCCCACCCCTGATTCTGGCTCTGTGACTGAATTCTTGACCTGGGCCACCGGTGCCTGGTGGGTGGTGGTAGGGAACCGGGTTCAGCTGCTGGAGCCCAGCCAGAAATCACGTCAGCCGAACGCGCACCATTTCCTGACTCGGGGCACTGCAGTTTGGGCTGGGCAGACAGCCTGGAGCTTGAGAAGAGAAAGCCCGTATTGACCAGCTCTCTCCCGCTCCGTTTCCCCTCCGGACTCTGGCAGGGCCTTTCCTTGGCTCGGTGCCCAGCTGCCTGCTCACCCGGCCTGGCAGACTCTGCATCTGCTCCACTTCACAGGCCGGGGAGGCTGGCAGCACGCCAGGGCTGGGCTCACGTCAGCGGCTGTGTAGGGAAGGGAGGGCAGTCTCCCGAGAGCCTCACAGCCTCGTGGGCTGAGAATAGGTGAAGTCAGGGCACCTCTGTGCAGAGGGAAGGCGGGGTGTGGGGCCCGTCCCACGCCTGGGCGACCCCCATGCAGCGAACCTCGAGGCCGTCACTCTAAAGCTCAGTCTCACTCAGGGTGCCAGAGGTGCGCGCCCCACCCTCAGTTCCTAGCCTGGGCCTAGGACTGGCTGACCCCGTGTGTGGGGCCAGGGCTCCCGAACACGGGTCCACCGGCTGCACGAGAGTTTCCGGGGGGCCCTACCCTTCCGATTCGGCAGGTTTAGGCCAGAGCCCATGAACCCAGTCTGTATTTTTAAACACCTGAAGCAATTTTGAAGCAATTCTGATTTATGGCCGAGCTGAGGAGTCAGGCTTGGGAAGAGAACCCCAGAGACGGGTCGGGAGAGGTCTGGATGCTCTGTTCCTCTGCGGCTAATCACCTGTGGGACTTGGGGGCTTCTCTGTGTGTCTCTGGGCATCTGTTTCCTCATCAGGGAGAACAGTTCTCCCTGTGCCTTCTCAGTAGGATTAGCGTCACGGTCGAATGAGGTCACGAGATGCCATCTCCCGGGCACTTGTATGGCATTAAAATTAGGGTCCCAGCCCTGTCCAGTCATCTTGCCAAACCTGCTTCTGGCCTCCAGGAATGCAGATGAGAGGCTGCGGATGGCCCCACACCGTCCGGCCCCACTTCTAGGAACAGGGTCAGGGCCTGTGCTGGCGATGCTCACAGGAGTATTTTGTTTGTGTTCTGGGAAGAGGAGGAGGGAGAAGGTGAGTAGCTTTGTAAGGAGCGTGGCTCCCGTAGGGGCAGCGCTCGTCTCTTCCCTCCAGGTCCGTACCATGACTCTGTTTCACTCAGGTCTCTGTCACTGCGCGGGAAGATGTGCCCACCTTTGGTCCACCTCTGCCCAGTCCCCCCGTTTTCCAGAAGGTAGGACACTCTTCCTTCTGCCCCTCTCGCATCCACGATGCCAGGTCTCAGTGCTTGAGTAGCAATGGTTGGGATGGAGCCAAATTCAGGCTGGGAACATTAGGGAGCTCCTTTTGCAGGTTTTGGGGGGAACCTCCTTTCTTGGGGTCTCTCCCCACCTCTTTCATGCTGCCAGTCTGGCCCAGCATAGGACCACTTGTCAGGGTGTTTGACACTGGGGTTGCTTTTCTGCTGAAAGACGGGCTTTTATGTTGAGCCCCGGTCAAGGAGCCTTGGGCAGGAATGAGCTCCAGTCGTGGAAGTGCCACTGTGGCTTCCCAGGACCAGGGAAGCGGGTTTCCTTGTTGGGATATTTGCAAGTGGGCTTGGCCTGGGCTAGAAATGATCCGCTGTCGGAAGGGACTTTTCAGGGGTTCTCCCCATGGCCCCGGCTCTGCCTGCCTGTCACTGTGGCTGAAGACCTTCTGGCAACAGCCGAGAGTGACAGACCTGAGGTCCGTCTTGTCTCTTCCAGGGCCCGGAATTCAGGGAGTTTCTGCTCACCAAGCTCACCAATGCCGAGAACGCCTGCTGCAAGTCGGACAAGTTTGCAAAGCTGGAGGTGAGAGTGTGGTTTCTGAAGGTCTCCCTCCTGACTGCTGGGCCACCTGTTAGCCAGCCTCATCCAGGGCTCCTCCATCTTTTTTTTTTTTTTTTTTTTTTTTGAGACAGAGTCTTGCTCTGTTACCCAGGCTGGAGTGCAGTGGCATGATCTTGGGACTCACCACAACCTCTGCCTCCCGGGCTCAAGTGATTCTCCTGCCTCAGCCTCCCTAGTAACTGGGATTACAGGTGTGCGCCACCACGCCCAGCTAATTTTTGTATTTTTAGTAGAGACAGGGTTTCCTCCATGTTGGCCAGGCTGATCTTGAACTCCTGACCTCAGGTGATCCGCCTGGCCCAGCCTCCCAAAGTGCCGGGATTACAGGCGTGAGCCACTGCGCCTGGCCAATCAGTCCTTTTTTTTTTTTCAAGACAGAATCTCACTCTGTCACCCAGGCTGGAGTGCAGTGGCCCGATCTTGGCTCACTGCAAGCTCTGCCTCCCGGGTTCACACCATACTCCTGCCTCAGCCTCCCGAGTAGCTGGGACTACAGGCGCCCGCCACCACGCCCAGCTAATTTTTTGTATTTTTAGTAGAGATGGGGTTTTGCCATGTTAGCCAGGATGGTCTTGATCTCCTGACCTCGTGATCCGCCTGCCTCGGCCTCCCAAAATGCTGAGATTACAGGCGTGAGCCACTGCGCCTGGCCCAATCAGTCATTTTTAAAGCACCTACTATGTGTCAGGCCCTATTCTGTTCCCTGGGATATGGGGATAAGTGAGACAGTTTCTATCCCTGGAGAGTACACAGGGTAGTCGGGGGGTGGGGCAGGGGGTCATTACTAAATAGATAGTTATAGTACAGTGTGCCAGCACTAGGCTGGGATGGAGGTCAGCACAGCTCAGATAGTGACTGTTTCTGCCTGTAGGGGACAGAGGGTGTGTTCAGGGAAGGCTTCCTGGAGGAGGTGGCTCATGCACAGCTGAATCTTGATATCAGATGAACCTTCTGCCAGGAGGAAAGAGTGGGGAAGGGAGGGCTGATCTGGCATGGTAGACAGCATGAGCAAAGGTCAGGAAGAACCAGAGCCTGACGTCAGGAGGGAGCTCCTGAGGGTTTGCTGTGGCTGAAGGACCCACGGGGGCTGGAATGGTGGAGACTCAGCCGGAGATGTTGGTTGGATCAGATCCAGAAGGGCTTTGAGCTCGGGACGGTGGGCTGCTGGTAAAGCGCTTAGGCAGGAGAGTGAGGGGCTCGATGTGTATGCCAGAGGGATTGCTCTGACAGTGGTGTCATTGAGAACGATGGTGACAAGGACAGGTTGCAGGGCAAGAGGTGCAGGAAGGCGGCCAGTTAGAAGCTATTTACAGGAATGCAGGAGAGATGACAAAGGCTTATACTGTATGGAAGGAAATGGTTTAGGGTCAAGGTTGGGAAGACTTGGTGGACTCCTGGCTGTAAGTGTTGTGGGACGTGGGATTGATTGTAGGGTGACTCTTGGGCCTTTGGCCTGGGCTCTTTGATGACATGGTGGCCAAGTTGTGCCTGCGAAGGCCGGGTTGCTGAAAGGGCCAGTCCTCATCTGTGTGAATAGCGGCCCCTGGCATCCATGTGCATGGCTCTGGACGAACATCTGGATGGAGAGGAGCAGTGGGGAGTTGGGTGCGTGGATGTGGAGCTGGGGCAGAGGGCCGGGCTGGGATTCACTCTTCCTTCTGCTCCTCTACCACCAGGGTGGAGCTGTGGCAGTGGTGGGACGACCCAGGGAGAAGGGCAGGGGGAGTAGAGCAGGAGGCCGAGCACGCAGCCTTCATCTTAGCTGCAGCATTTGTGAGCACGAAGCTCAGCTCAGCAGTAGGTCCACACCGTTGCTGGGCCGGGCTGGGCAGAATGTCAGCCTCCAGGCCAGGTGTCTGGAGCTCACAAGGAGCAGGCACATCTCTGCTCTCAGAGCCAGCTTCTCCATCCCCACCCTCTTCCCTTCTAGGACCGGACCAGGGCTGCCCTCCTGGACAACCTTCACGATGAGCTCCACGCCCACACACAGGCCATGCTGGGACTGGGCCCAGAGGAGGACAAGTTTGAGAATGGAGGCCACGGGGGGTTCCTGGAGTCTTTTAAGGTATGAGCGTCAGAGTGACTGATGGTTGCTGTGGGGTTGGGATTGGGGAAGAAAGGAAGTGGTCCAAGGTCCATGGGATACTGATCCCAGAGCCCAAGGGCCAGCTGGAGGGGTGACAGGAAACGTATGGGTATCCTAGGTGTTTGCAAAGGGCAGGGCCGTTAGGAAGTGTGTGAGGCTGGAGCAGCCAGCAGTTTTCTCAGCAGCCTCCCCATCCTTCCTCTATCTGGGTCATCTCCTCCGGGCCCAGAAGTCTGTTAAGCAGGGACAGGTAAAGAGGTAGCAGTAGGAGAGGAGCTGGAGCAAGCCAGGAACATCGGCGCTTTCACCTGCCTCCTCCTGGGTTGGGGAGCCCAGGGCAGAATGGCAGGAGCGAGGACCACAGCCCTTACGGGTCTTCGTAGCTGCTGTGGGTGCCACAGTGATTCTTCCTAGCCAGCCGGCCGAGCATTGGAAGACCTGGCTGGGCAGGGGCCATGGAACTATAGGCAAGTCCCTTTGGACTTTGCCAAGGGAAAAAAACTAACTAGAAGGAGCTGCTAAAGGAAGCAGTGAGCTCCCTGTCCCTGGAAGTATTCAAGTGGAGCTCGGACGGCCCCCGAGCTGGCGTGTGGTAGAGGTTTTTCATCTTATGCTTGCTGAGTGCTTGTTGGTCCACGCAGCACGTAGACCCAGCATCTGGCTCGAGCCTGGCTGTCAGCCTGTGCAGGTGGCGGAACGGGTCTTGTTATATTCACGAACACACGTGGGGACAGGATGAGAGACGCCACAGGCCTGCTCAGGTCCTTACACCGAGGCAGAGTTAGAGCCTCATTTCAAACGCAGGTCTTCTGATTCTTAGGTCCGTGTGCTGCTGGATTGCCTGTTAGAAGGTGATTTGGAAACTCCCATCTGGGGGCATTATGTGTGGGACTTTATGGGGAATTATGTGTAGGGCTACACCCACCTCTATTAAAACCGCAGCTCTGTGGGATCCTGGGCAGTCTTTCAAGCCTCTTAAGGTGCAGCTTTCTTGTCAACAACATAAGGATAGGAAGCAGGACCCCTGTCAGAGCCATTGTGCGAGTTCATTGATACCATGCCTGGAAAAGTCCAGATTGCCTGGAATATAGTAAATGCTCAAAAATGTCAGCTGTTATTACAGTTGTATAAAGTGAAAGCTTCACACACATTATCCCACCTGGAGATTCACAACTGCCCTCAGTGCCCTGTGAGGAAGGCTATTATTTGGGGTGTAATAATTTTGGTATAATAGTTCATACTCAGTTTTAATAATGATAGGCATAGTATTATATGGGAGGAAACCAAGCCTCAAAGAGACAGAATCATTTGTGGGAGCAGGTGGAGTTGAATCCAGGTCCGCCGGATTCCAAATCCGACACCACCTCCCACTTCCTGACTTTGTTAAGATTCCACCCGCACTAGCCTGGGCCCGGGCAGGCCTGGGGTCAGTCCCCCACTGCCCGGCTGGACCGCAGAGAGCAGGGCACAGCTCTTCCTACCCTAGTTGGGGCCAGCTGCCAAGATGCCTCTTGGGGTTGGGAAAAGGAGCTGAGCTGCTTGTCCAGGCTGGTGGGTGATTCCTGGGGCACCTGTTTCAGTGCTGATGGACAGTGGGAGCCCGGGTGAAATAGGAGAAATTGGGAGATCAAGACGGAAGAGGGATGCAGAAGAAGAGGAACGGGAGGAGAGAGGGCGCCAGGTCAGACAACCCAGCGAGAGAATGGAGAGTGTGAGATGCGGTAAACAGGAAAACGGGCTTGGGTCTGGGGAAGGCAGGAAGGGGGGCACCACATTAAGCCTTCCACAGGCTCTAGACTTCCTTCCAGAGGCTCCACCACACTCCATAGCCCACGTATCAAAACATTCTGCATCCCTCAGTAAATGTAATTTATGCAGAACTATAAGAGGTGAGGCCAGGTGCCGTGCCTCACGCCTGTAATCCCAGCACTTTGGGAGGCCGAGGCAGGCGGATCACGAGGTCAGGAGATCGAGACCATCCTGGCCAACATGGTGAAACCTCGTCTCCACTAAAAATACAAAAATTAGCCGGGCGTGGTGACGTGAGCCTGTAATCCCAGCTACTCAGGAGGCTGAGGCAGGAGAATCACGTGAACCCGGGAGGCGGAGGTTGCAGTGAGCCGAGATCACGCCACTGCACTCCAGCCTGGAGACAGGGCGAGACTGTCTCAAAAAAAAAAAAAAAAAAAAAAAAGAAAAGTTGAGCTGCAGTTGGGGAGCCAACATAATGTTGTATTTTGTAGACATTTAATGAAGCACTTGTTTTGAGTTTTGCAGGTTTCTTGTAGTATTTTGGAGTTAATTGGTTTTTCAGGTTTCAAGTATTTCTATATCCTGGAGATGCTTGTAGGCTGTGGACACTCTGCCCATGGTGCCCAATGGAGGAGGTGGTCCAGCAGCTAAATACAGGTGGCAGGTATAAAGAGAGTGGCCTGAGGCCGCTCTGTCCAGTCCCCCGCCTCTGGCAGGAGTCGCAGTTGATCTGTGCTTGACTCGAGGGGGTCTGACGTATTCCTAGAGGGGCTTACAAGAGAGGAAACACTTTAAGACTTTATCACGACTCATCTTTGATCCAGTGATCCAGGGAATTCTTTTCAATACTAAAACCCTGCAACTGTAGGTTGAAGACAGGCCTGCTTCCAGATTCTGCTCTCACACCTACCTGAGGTAGCACCGTGGGGCGTGGGAGAGACTGTGACAGTCACACAGAGTAAGCTTCAGGGCCCTGACGGTTGTGACCAGATTTTTTTTAAATTTTTTTATTTTTTAATTTTTTTTGAGGCAGGGTCTTGCTTTGTCACCCAGGCTGGAGTGCAGTGGTGCAATCTTGGCTCACTGCAACCTCTGCCTCCCGGGTTCAAGTGATTATCCTACCTCAGCCTCCTGAGTAGCTAGAATTATAGGTGCCCGCCACCACGCCCGGCTAACTTTTTGTATTTTTAGTAGAGACGAGGTTTCACCATGTTGGCCAGGCTGGTCTCGAACTCCTGACCTCAGGTGATCCGCCCACCTCAGCCTCACAAAGTGCTGGGATTACAGGTGTGAGCCACCGCGCCCGGCCATTTGTGACCAGCTTTTTTCCCTCCCACCTGGGGAGCACGAGCTCCTGTTCCCTGTCCCTTTCGTCATTGCCCTCACATCTCCCAAGCATGGAGGCCTGAGCTGGGGACAGGCCAGGCTCAGCCGAATGGAGCCCTGGGGCCTGGGGTGGATTCTGGTGTTTAGGCCATGCCTGTGGCCAGGCCTGTGTGTCTGGCCCAGCTCAGGAAACCATCCCTAGTTTTGGTATTTTTTTTTCCTGGGCACCTTGGGCGGTGCTGCTGTGTCAACAGGACGTTGCTTAGGGAGTTCACCCACACCTTCCTGGGATCGCTCTTGAAACAAGTGATACCTGAAATGTTCCAGGAAGAAAAGTTACAGGCCTTTATCTCTTCCTGTCAAAGTTTTTTTTTTTTTTTTTTTTTGAGATGGAGTTTTGCTCTTGTTGCCCAGGCTCAGGCTGGAGTGCAGTGGTGCGACCTCGGCTCACTGCAACCTCTGCCTCCCGGGCTCAAGCGATTCTCCTGCCTCAGCCTCCCGAGTAGCTGGGATTACAGGTGCCCGCCACCACACATGGCTAAATTTTTTGTATTTTTAGTAGGGACACCATCTTGGTCAGGCTGATCTTGAACTCCTGACATCAGGTGATCCGCCCATCTTGGCCTCCCAAAGTGCTGGGATTACAGGCGTGAGGCACTGCGCCCGGCCTCCTTCCTGTCAAAGTTCTCATTTCCCAGGCTGATGGGAGCATAACTGAGAATCCCCAGGGCTGAAAGCCATCTCAGCCATCCATCCTTGCCCCTGGTGAGGCTGCTGCTCCCCCACGTCAGCACTGACCCTTGATCTTTCTCCTGAGCAGCAGGCCTGCCATTGCCCTGTGTTGTGCCGCCTGGCACCTCACCCCGCTTGGAGCAGTTCCTTACAGCTCACTTCTGTCCTCCCAGCTGTAATGGAAGCGTTTCTCCCATGAGACACAGAACAGTTGGCTTTTGGACATCTAGACCTACTTTTCAAGCTGAACTGCTTGGAGATAGTCTCAGGAATCTGCTGGTTCTACAAACACTTCTAAAGTTTGCATTTTCACTTAGATCTAAAAAAAAAAACCTTCCAATTATAAAGACTGAACGTTTGGCTGGGCGCGGTGGCTCACGTCTGTAATCCCAGCACTTTGGGAGGCCGAGGCAGGTGGATCACCTGAGGTCAGGAGTTCGAGACCAGCCTGGCCAACGTGGTGAAACCCTGTCTCTACTAAAAATACAAAAATCAGATGGGCGTGGTGGTGCACACCTGTAATCCCAGCTACTTGGGAGGCTGGGGCAGGAGAATTGCTCAAACCTGGGAGGTGGAGGTTGCAGTGAGCTGAGATTGCGCCACTGCACAGCAGATCCAGACTGTGTCTCAAAAAAAAAAAAAAAAAAAAAAAAAACAAACCTAAAGTTTGCAGTGATCACTCCAAATTAAGAGATGTTCCTATAGGGTAAATAGGTAAGGCCTGAAGTCAGCACTGCATACGCAGCCCATGGGGCCACTGGGGTTGGGGGTCTGTGAGCAGATTCTCGGGAGTCTTGCGAGAACAGCTTTCACGATGAAAGAGCTGTACGTTATGTTTGAACGATGCTGATCTCTAGACCATTTTCCAGTGCCATTCTCAGTTACTGCCAGCTGTTGATGAGGTTGTTATTGGTCCGTAATGCAATGAAAAGTGATGATACTTGCTGTACCGACGTCAGATGGACGTAGAGCACGTGCAGGCCACATTTTGAGAAATGCTGAGCTCACCCAGCCCTCCACTGACCTCATCGCACAGAGGTGGAGCAGAGGACCGGGGAGGAGAAGGCTGCCGGGCTGGCTGTGATGGACCCGGGACCGTGGCAAGCTGGGAGTTGCCAGGTTCATTTCTCCCAGCCTTTGAGGGACTGTGATAGTTCATGCCTTGGTCTGACCTGACCCCTAGTGGCAGGAGGGGCCACAGCTATCCCTGGCAGTCTTTGTGGCCCCGCAGTACCTGCAGGGAGGTACCTGTAAGCCGGTCCCCCTAGCAGTGCCAGTGATGGCAGGTGGAGCACAGCAGGGCCCCGCCAAGAATCCTTGGTCTTTGGCGTCTTTGCCCCCTCCTTTTCCTCCTGATGGGGAGTTGTGATGTCAGGATGGCCCCGCTGTTTTGGGGGTCCACGAGAGAGCTCAGGCCTTGTGCTTGGCCCTGCTCCACTCCTGGGTCGGAGTCATGGTCTCTTGGAGCAGAGTTGGCATCTGTCTTGCATTTGCCCCGCTAGAGGGACAGAAGACCCGGTGCTGACTCCTCACACTTACCCAGCCTGCCGCCTCCTCACACTTACCTTGCTGACTCCGGCGGCTGCACCAGGACTAATTGAGGAGCCAGTGTCCTCCCTGACACCAGCCTCTGAGTTTTTCTTTTCTTTTCTTTTCTTTTTTTTTTTTTTTTTTTTTGGTGGGAGCCTTGAAAATTCGTGGTTTCTAATCATCCTTCAGTCATCCACCAGTTGAATTGTATTTTCAACCTGGACCAGTTTTTAATATACAGGGACCCTTTTATCTGGAGCCCAGGGTTCTGGGTTTGGATCCTGGCTCTATCTCTTACCTGCTATGTGGGCTTGGGCAATAATTTACCCTTCAGAACTTTTTCTGTCCAATGCCTGTCCTCTCTGCATCTCAGAATTGTAGAGATTCAATAGATCTTGTATGTGAAGCTCATGAGACCAGATACTGTTACACAGGAGTTACTATTTCCCACATGGAATCCTTTCTGGGAAAGAGACAGGGAGGAATACAATCACGTGTCACTCAACGACGGGAAATACGTCCTGAGAAATGACGGGAATACGTCCTACGACACACGTCGGCTATAGAGCCCGTGGCTGCCAGCACAGACCTGGATGGTCTAGCCTAGGACACACGTCGGCTATAGAGCGTGTGGCTGCCAGCACAGACCTGGATGGTCTAGCCTAGGACACACGTTGGCTATAGGGCGCGTGGCTGCCAGCACAGACCTGGATGGTCGAGCCTAGGACACACGTCGGCTATAGAGCCTGTGGCTGCCAGGTTACAAAGCTGTGCAGCAGGTTCCTTTACTGAATATTGTAGGTAATTGTAACACAAAGACAGGCATTTGTATACTAAACATCTAAATATGGAAAAGGTACAGTAAAAATATAGTATTAGAATCTTAATAGGACCAGTGTCATCTATGCAGTCTGTTGACTGCAGTGTCATTGTGTGGTGCTGGACTGGATTGCAGAATATAAATGATTAGTTTGGAATGTCATGATTGATGATGGTGTTGTCAACGCACAAGGGCACCAAGAGAATGTAAAGATGCTGATTTTTTTTTTTTTTTTTTTTTTTTGAGACAGTCTCGTTCTGTCACCCAGGCTGGAGTGCAGTGGTGCGATCTCGGCTCACTGCAACCCCAGCCTCCTGGATTCAAGCAATTCTTCTGCCTCAGCCTGCCGAGTAGCTGGGATTATAGGCACACACCACCATGCCTGGCTAATTTTTGTATTTTTTACAAAAATTAGAGATGGGGTTTCACCATGTTGGCCAGGTTGGTCTCGAACTCCTGACCTCAGGTGATCCACGTGCCTCCACTTCCCAAAGTGTTGGGATTACAGGCGTGAGCCATCGCCCCTGGCCGAGATGCTGAGATTTATGGAGCACTTAACTCATTCATGGAACCTGGCTGCGGCCAGGCTTGGTGGCTCACTTTGGGAGGCCAAAGCAGGAGGCTTACTGGAGCCCAGGAGTTTGAGACCAGCCTGGGCAACACAGGAAGAACCTGTCTCTATTTATTTATTTATTTTAAAAAAGGAAGCTCGCCGCTCCTCCAGGGACACCTCAGTGTGCCACCACCCCTGTCCTGCCCTCAGTTGTTCAAAGGGTACATGGCTTTATGATGCTTGCGTGACGGGGTAAATAGAACGCGCTGACTGTTTTAACCATGCGGTAGGAAAACTGTTGCTAGGTGACCCTGTTCTATGGTATAGAGAGGGAGTGAGAGATGTCCCTCCAGGGGCATCTTTGACTCAGATAAGAGATGCCCGATCAAATCAGGGGTATGAAGCTGGTGGGCTACACACCTCACTGTCAGTAGCTCATCTAGGGGGCTGTCCGGTTTACAAATGGCCCTCCTGAGTCTGCATCCCTTGTCAGGATAGAAAAGCAGGCAGGATGGGGTTCTTTGCCCTTCCCAAGCTTGGAGAAATCCTGACGTCCAGAGAGCCCAGGGAGACCTGTTGTTTGGGTCAGGAGCAGCAGCCCTGCCATTTTCTTGGGACCACTTTGCTGTAGACCCAGCTCTTCCTAAGATGACTCAAGGCTGGGCGTGGTGGCTCACGCTTGTAATCCCAGCACTTTGGGAGGCTGAGGCAGGTGGATCACGAGGTCAGGAGTTCAAGACCAGCCTGGCCAACACAGTGAACCGCCATCTCTACTAAAAATACAAAAATTAGCCAGGCATGGTTGCGGGCGCCTGTAGTCCCAGCTACTCGGGAGGCTGAGGCAGGAGAATCTCTTGAACCTGGGAAGCGGAGGATGCTGTGAGCTGAGATCGTGCCACACGCTGTACTCCAGCCTGGGTGACAGAGCTAGACTCTGTCTCAGAAAAAAAAAAAGATGGCTCAAAAGAGGAAGGGAGGTTGTCCACATGAGACCATCTGTAGGTTACACATGGGGTGTGTGAGCCAACACAGTTGTACAGGTGTGCACAGGTGTGAATCCAGAGGGGAAGGGGAGCGGGGCCCACACCTTAGTCCTTCTGCATCAGCTTTCTGAAGCTGGAGTTCTGAGAGCAGCCTCCCTCGACTAGCTCACACTACGATAAGGAAAATTCATGAGCTGGTGTCCAAGGAGGGCTGGGTGACTCGTGGCTCAGTCAGCATCAAGATTCCTTTCGTCTTTCCCCTCTGCCCTCCCTGGCTTGTCAGCTTTGTCCCTCAGGCTTGGCCCCTCGTGGCCCTAAGATCATTGTCATGGTTTTGTCTGCTGACAAAACACTGCTGACATGTTAAATCTTTTTTGGGAATCATTGAGAAAACCTTTCCCCAGCGCACCCAGTGGATATGCCCTCCTCTGCCACTGGCAAGAGGATAGGCTAACTGACTGCCTTAGGCAGATCATGACTTAATCCTGCGTCCCATGGAGGAGGAGGACACGTTTGGCTAGAACCTGGCTCTGCCAGTGGGGAGCTCAGGGAGCAGAGGTGTTGATACTTGTATGTGAACAACAGATAATATTCGTGTCCAGGAGTCTTTGCCCTTGCAGAAGCCTGGACAACTGATTAATCCAGAAGGAGCACCCCACAGGCTCTGGGTCTTTCAGCATCGCCCAATGTGAGGAATATGTCTTGGGCATTCCTCAGAGGCAGAGGCCATGTCCTACACATCTCGACTTTCCTGCTGCGGGTCTCCCAGTTCCTGGCACAGTGCTAGGCACGTGAGCAGCCTGCAGCAGGTGCTTGTTATTAACCGTAAGAGTAGCCACACTTATCAGATCATTACGATGTGCTGGGCTGTCTCCTCAGAGCCCTGTGTGTATTCTCACAACTACTCTGTGGTGTAGACACCAACATCTCTTTCACTCTAAGTCTCAGAGAAGCTGGGTCACCTGCCCGGGGTTACTCAGCTAATGCGTGCTGGAGTAGAGGGCCCAGAAGCCCAGATACAAATCCTGGCAGTGAAACCCTAAAGCCTCCATGCTTTTGACTGCTGAGTTGCATTCCTGCCCGGCCAGATCCAGTGACTGATGGAATGATCAAAGGGTTACTGGAGAGAACCTTCTCTTCCTAGAATTCTCACACCATCTTTGAAGGCCTTTGGAGCCAGAGAGAGCATCATCCAGGGGGCAGCCAGAGTCCCCTGGGACTTCTTTTGTCAGGAAATCCCCCCCTGAGGTGGAGCCGAGCTCTGCTTCAACACAGCACTCTGAGGGGTGGTTGTGCCTTCCCGGGTCCATCCCTCCCGTGGCTGAGTAATCTTGGTTTTTAGCTGTTCTCACTCTCACATGTACTTTGACAAAGCCTTGACCTCCCTGGTGGTCCTCTCCTGGGTACTTCACCATTTGCCAGTGTGCCCCTTGCTCCTGGGTGGCCTGAGCAGCTCCGTGCCCCCCGAGACCCTGCACTTCTGCCAGGCTGAGGGTGCATCTCTTTCAGCACCTCCATCAGACCAGGGGCCGTAACAAAGGCGGATCTGAAGCCCCTGCAAGTGGGAGGGGCGGCTCAGTGCATGGATTGATGCACAGATGAGTAAGAGACCCTCACACACTTGCACCCATGGCCAGCATATTCCAAGTTGCCCAGAGCACACTTTGGGATACAATCCAGTGTTTATTACAGATGGAGGCTCAGTTTTCTGGAAAAGAGTCAACTTGTGGTCAGACACCTGAGTGTGTTGAATCCCCACCACGATGCTGGGTGTGAAACATAGAATTCCCATTTTACAGATGAGGAAGCTGTAGCTTAGAGAGGTTAGTAACTAGGTCAGTGTCGCACAGGCTTGGCGAGCTCCAAGCCTCATTTTCCTTACCTGTAAGATGAAGATAATAACCTTTGTCCACCGTGCAGGGGAGCTGGGGCGCTGACCCCTCAGATTCCCTCCAGCCGGGGCTGTGCCTTGCCTCCACCCATGCCCAGAGTGTGGGGCAGAATATGGAAACATCCTCTGTAAGCTGGAGTAACTAGTATGGGCCTCTGTGACCGTGTGTGTGTGTGTGTGTGTGTGTGTGTGTGTATGTGTGCACGCATACGTGTGCTGAGGGCTGTGTCTACAGACCCCACGAGGAGGGCAGAGTCATCCGGAGAGCCCGGGTGCTGATTCTCAGGCCCTTGTTCTCTCCCCGTAGAGGGCCATCCGCGTACGCAGCCACTCCATGGAGACCATGGTGGGCGGCCAGAAGAAGTCGCACAGTGGGGGCATCCCTGGCAGCCTCAGCGGGGGCATCTCCCACAACAGCATGGAGGTCACCAAGACCACCTTCTCGGTGAGTGCTGGCAGGCCCCGGGGCGGCAAGTGGGTCCCAGGGAGGCCCCCCCCAGACCTATGGAGGAAGAGTGCCCCCACCCAGGCTTGGGCAGGTGACTTGATCAGGGCAAGCTGGATGATGGTGGGAAACTGAGGCTGCTTGGGGGTGACCCTGACCCCTGACCTCTGAAAACGGTCCTTTGGAGCCTCCATCCTAGACAGCACCCGGGGTTGACCCAGATGGTGCTAGAAGCCCTCCTGTCCTGTTCTCTTGAGTTTCCTTGACAGCTAGACCTCCTCCTCGGGGCCAGCCCTGCAGTGTGGTCCTGGGGTGTGTTTTGCTGCTCAGGGGCTCGGGACCCATGACTGTGAGAGGGGTGTCCTTGCTTTGTTATTATTAATGGCAGCAGTAGCCACCCCAGCTTACTGTGTACCAGGCACTGAGCTGAGTAACCTGTAGACACAATCTCACCTGCTTCCCATAGCAGCTGCCCGAGATGGGTGCTGATGTGTTCTCCTGTTCCCATTTGAGGAAAAGGAGGCCCGCTGGGGCTCAGTAACTTGCTAGAGGCCACTCAGCTAAGCTTAAGAGCTGGGATTTGAGGCCGGGCGTGGTGGCTCATGCCTGGAATCCCAGCACTTTGGGAGGCTGAGGCAGGTGGACCACAAGGTCAGGAGTTCAAGACCAGCCTGGCCAACTTGGTGAAACCCCGTCTCTACTAAAAATACAAAAATTAACTGGGCGTGGTGGCGGGTGCCTGTAATCCCAGCTACTCAGGAGGCTGAGGCAGAGAATTGCTTGAACCTGGGAGGTGGAACTTGCAGTGAGCCGAGATCATGCCACTGCACTCCAGCCTGGGTGACAGCGAGACTGTCTCAAAAAAACAAAACAAAACAAAACACAAAATCAACTGAATTTGAATGCGATTCTGCTGGATCCAAAGTCTGTGCTGTTCATCACCATGTGTACAGTTCCCAAGGGAAGGGTCCTGCAGGCCTGTGAGTTTGGGCCTGATTGACTCGTACCAGGGGCTGGGAAGGGGAGGGAATCATGTAGTTGGGCCTTTCATAAAGCAAAGTGGGCCGGGCATGGTGGCTGAGGAGGGTGGATCCCTTGAGTCCAGGAATTCGAGACCAGCTTGGGGAACAAAGTGAGACCCCATCTCTACAAAAAAATGCAAAAATTAGCTGAGCATGGTGGCACGCACCAGTAGTCTTAGCTACTTGGGAGACTGAGGTGGGAGGATCACCTGTGCCTGGGGAGGTTGAGGCTCTAGCGAGCCGTAATTGGGCCACTGCACTCCAGCCTGGATGTCAGAGTGAGACCCTGTCTCCAAATCTAAGTAACTAAAGCAAAGTGGCTTTGGATTTGTATAGACTAGGATTTTCCTTTCTTTTCCTTCAAAATAGCAGAACATACTCACCATGGAACTAATTATGAGTATTATAAATGGCCTCGCATAATTAATTTAATTGACTAAATATTTTCCTAGCTATTATCTTGCTTCCCCCTGAAGGTGCATGGCGTGAGCAGAGCAGGGCCTCATCTCCATCCTGTGGATGAGGAGACTCAGGTCGGGTCTCATTGCTCTCCTGAGGTGCCATAACATGTGCATGGCAGGAGCTGGGGCCTGAGTTGGAGGCTTGGTGGCCTCTAGAGGTTGGTTCCAGGCTCCCATCTGCCCTCCTCAAACCCCCACCACTCATTGTCCACTGTGAGGCCAGGCAGCTTTCCAAAGCAGAAGGCGTCTTGGCTGCCGCCAACCGCCCATTGGTGCCTGTGGCCCTGGCTCTGCGGCTCTCAGCCTGTCTTGTTATTGGAACGCCTGCGCGGCTCCATTTGTTTGCGAGGAATGAAGGAGAGTCAGGAGTCCTCACCCTGCCAGTGATTTGCTGGAAGACCTTTGGTCTTCAGCTTCCTTGCCGGTAAAGTGAGAGGTTGAACCAGGTCCCTCCAGGGCCTCCCTGGCTCTGTGCCTCTCAGCCTGTGTCCCCCGGAATTGTTCTGACCTTCTCAATTTGGTGGGCCTGGCCCTGTGTTCCTCCAACAGTTGTGGTCTTTGGTGGATCATGACCTGGGACCACAAGGTTTGGCTTAACACAGGGAAGGAGGCTGTGACTGGCCTGAGTCTCCAGGTCTCAGCTTCAGTTACATAGATCTCAACCTTCCTAGCTGTCTTGCTATTTTCTGGGGTCTCTTCCAGACCAGGAGCCATTTGTAGACCAGGGAGGAGGATGAGGGGATAGGAGATCGGTGTTTGGGCCGGGAGCACTCATTTTGGCAATTTCATCGACAGCCTCCAGTGGTGGCGGCAACGGTGAAGAACCAGTCACGGAGTCCCATCAAGCGACGCTCGGGGCTCTTCCCCCGCCTGCACACGGGCTCAGAAGGCCAGGGCGACAGCCGGGCACGATGGTAACTGTTGGGAAACCCCTACCCCAGCCTGACTTGCGGGGTCTGTCAACCCCCTCCACTGCTACAGCTGTTCAGTGCCCTACCTTGCAGGGAGGAGCTTTGCTCAGCTTTAGGAGATGGCTCTGCCTTCAGGCACCTGTGTGTCCCCTGTCACTCACTCAGCTCTTTATCCAAAGAGGCGGACTTGGCCAGTCTCTGCCTGGGACCTTCCAGAGTTACTCTTGCCGCATTTTGACCCAGGCTAGAAACATTGCTTGGATTCTTGTTTCTTTGCCTCCTTTTTCAACGCTCACTCAAATGGCCTGTCTTATGGGAGCCTTCCCTGATTCTGCCAGGCAGAGTTAGTTGCACCTTCCTCTGGGCTTCTAAAAGGTTCTATGCTTTTTTCTTTTTAAGCAACTCATATATTACATTACATTGAACCTGTTCTTGGTAATTGTCTTTCTGATTCTTTTAAAAAAATGAACACACAGTACTTGTGCATATTTTTGGGGTACGTGTGATATTTTGATAAAATGCATAATGATCAAATCAAGGTAAGAGAAATATCCATCACCTCAAACATTGATCTTTTGAGTTAGGAACATTCAAATTCTTTTCTAGCTATTTTGAGCTATGTAATACATTATTATCAACTATAGTCACTGTATTGTACTATTGAACACTAGATCTTATTTCTTCTATCTAACTGTATTTTTGTACCCATTAACCAACCTCCCTTCATCCTGCCCTCCCCCGCCCCTTCCCAGCCTCTGGTGACACCAGTCAACTTTCTATCTCCACGAGATTCACTTTTTTAGCTCCCACATATGAATGAGAACATGCGATATTTGTCTTTTTTTTTTTTTTTTTTTTTTTTTTGAGACAGAGTCTCTGTTGCCCAGGCTGGAATGCAGTGGCGCCATCTTGGCTCACTGCAACCTCTGCCTCCTGGGTTCAAGCAGTTCTCCTGTCTCAGCCTCCCTGAGCAGCTGGGACTACAGGCGCATGCCACCACACCGGCTAATTTTTGTAATTTTGGTAGAGACGGGGTTTTGCCATGTTGGCCAGGCTAGTCTCGAACTCCTGACCTCAAGTGATCCACCCGCCTTGGCCTCCCAAAGTGTTGGGATTACAGGCGTGAGCCACCGCACCCGGCCACGGTATTTGTCTTTTCATGTCTGGCTTTCACTTAACATAATGACCTCCAATTCTACCCATGTTGCTGCAAATGACAGGATTACATTCTTTTCCATGGGTGAATAATATCCATTGTGTATATAAAAAAGATTTTCCTTATCCGCTTATCTGTTGATGGACACTCAGGTGGGTTCTGTACCATGGCTATTGTGAGTAGTGCTGCAATAAACATGGGAGTGCAGACCTCTTCCATGTACTGATTTCCTTTCTTTTGGATATATTTACCCTGCAGGGGGATTGCTAGATCATATGGTAGCTCTAGTTTTAGTGTTTTGAGGAACCTCCAAACACTGTAGTGTCTGTAGTGGCTATGCTAATTTACATTCCCACCAACACTGTGAGCATTTCCCTTTCTCTGCATCCTCACCAGCATTCTCAATTGCCTGTCTTTTTGATAAAAGCCATTTTAACTGGGGTGAGATGATAGCTTATTGTGGTTCCCGTGGTGGGGGCAGATGTCACAGACTCCAAATTATTAAAGACAAATAATAACAGATGTCAGGATATGGAGAAATGGGAACCCTTTTTCATTGCTGGTGGGAATGTAAAATAGTGCAACTACTTTGGAAAACAGTCTGGCAGTTCCTTAGAAGGTTAAACATAGAGTTACCATATTACCAAGCAATTCCGCTCCTCGGTATATACCCAAGAGAGTTGAGAACGGTTGTCTGTGAAAAAAAGTTTACATTTACATTTCTTTGATAATTAATGATGTTGAATGTTTTTTGATATACTTGTTTGCTATTTGTATGTCTTCTTTTGAGAAATTTCTATTCATGTTTCTTGCCCTTAAAAAAATCACATTATTTGTGTTTTTGCTATTGATTTTTTTGAGTTCCTCATATATTCAGGTTATTAATCCTTGTTGGATGGATAGTTTGCAAATATTTCCTCCCATTCTGCAGATTGGCTCTTTACTTGGTTGATTGTTTCCTTTGGTGTGCAGAAGCTTTTTAACTTGATGTAATCCCATTTGTCTATTTTTGCTTTTGTTGTCTGTGGTTTTGAGGTCTCATCTAAAAAGTTTTTGCCCAGACAGACCAACGTCCTAAAGCATTTCCCCAATGTTTTCTTTTAGGAGTTTCTTTGTTTCATGCCTTAGATTTAATCCATTTTGATTTGATTTTTATGTATGGTGAGAGAGAAGGGTCTGGTTTTATTCTTCTGTATATGGTTATCCAGTTTTACCAGCACCACTTACTGAAGAATGTATATTCTTGGCACCTTTGTTGAAAATGAAATGATCATGTGGTTTTTGTTCTGTATGGTTAATGTGATGTATCACATTTGTTGATTTGTGGATGTTGAACCATCCTTGCATCCCTGGAACAAATCCCATGGTGAATTGATCATGGTGAATGATCTTTTTGATGCATTGTTGAATTCTGTTTGATAATATTTTGTTGAGGATTTTTGCATCTGTGTTTATCAGGAGTACTGGCCTGTAACTCTCTTTTTGTTGTATCCTTGTATGGTTTTGATGTCTTTCTGATTCTTTAATTGATGAGCCCATTTGTTCTTTATTTCAGCAGCCAGCATTTCTTGAGTGGCTGCCATGTGCTGGGCACAGTGCTGAATGCTCAGACAAGTGCTACAAAACATATAAGCCTGTCCTCCAGAAGTTCACAGTCTTGTAAGGGAAAGGGCGGCATTTGGTTGACTTCCAAATTCCCAGGTTTTCTGCCTATAGCCCTGGGTGGTGGCACCATGTTCTGAAGTAGGGCTTGCAGGACAAGAGGCAGGGTTATGGAGAAGGATGAAAAGCTCTGTTTGGAACCTGTGCATGGGAGTTTTTGTGAACCAACAGTAGAGATGTCCAGGGAGTGGTCAGAGTTACAGGTTTTTAAAAATTTTTATTTTACTTTTTTCTTTTATTATTATACTTTAAGTTCTGGAATATAAGTGCAGAATGTGCAGGTTTGTTACATAGGTATACATGTGCCATGGTGGTTTGCTGCACCCATCAACCCGTCATCTAGGTTTTAAGCCCTGCATGCATTAGGTATGTGTCCTAATGCTTTCCCTCCCCTTACCCCCAACCCCCCGACAGGCCCTGGTGTGTGATGTTCCCCTCCCTGTGTCCACATATTCTCATTGTTCAACTCCCACTTATGAGCGAGAACATGTGGTGTTTGGTTTTCTGTTCCTGTGTTAGTTTGCTGAGGATGATGGTTTTCAGCTTCATCCATGTCCCTGCAAAGGACATGAACTCATTCTTTTTTATGGCTGCATAGTATTCCATGGTATATGAGAGGCCTTGAATAGAGAAGGAGAGTTGGGAACCAATAGGGTAGAGGTACTGATTAACGATTGCTTAATTAATATGACCACTGGAGAGGCTCAGTAGAGTACCACATTTAAGGGCAGGTGGAGAAGGGAAGGTGGTGAAGCTGACTGGGAAGGAAAGATGAGAGAAGAGGAGGAGGGGATGGAGTCTCTGAAGCCAGAGGAGGAGAAATTCCAGGAAGGGAGGACATCTGTGTCAGACACACAGAGAAGTCCAGCAAAGTGAGCCAAACCCCTGGACAGATTGACAGGAGGTTATTAGCAACCTCATCAAATGTGCATTGAGACACTTCACACCTCTAGGATGGCTTTAATCAAAAAGACAAATAGTAACAGATGTCAGAGAGGATATGGAGAAATGGAAACCCTTGTTCATTGCTGGTGGGAATGTAAAATAGTGCAACTACTTTGGAAAAGAGTCTGGCAGTTCCTTACAAGGTTAAACATAGAGTTACCATATGACCAAGCAATTCCGCTCCTAGGTGTATACCCAAGAGAGTTGAGAACAGTGGGCCATGAAAAAAAATGAGTCCACTAGTACAACTAGTGTACAGATACTCATGGCAGCACTATTTATCATAGCCCAAAGTGGAAACAGTCCAAATGTCCATTGTCTGATGAATGGATAAACAAAGCGCCATCTATCCATAAAATGGAATATTATTGCAGTAAAAAGGAATAAAGTCCTGATACAAGCTACAACATAGACAGACCTTGAAAACATTATGTTAAGAAGCCAGACAAAAAGACCATAACATATTATATGATTCTATTTACATGAATGTCCAGAAGAGTACAATCTACAGTGATGGCTTCGGGATTGGGTGGGAGTTACAGGGAGAGGACTAGGAAGTGATTACAAATGGGTCCAGTGTTTCCTTTAGGGGTCCAAAAGTATTCTAAAATCAGATGGTGGTGATAGTTGCACAACTCTGAATAAACTAAAAGCCATTGCATTGTATACTTTAAATAGGTGAGTTCTGTGGTGTGTAGATTCTGTCTCAAGAACACTATTATTTAAAAAGTACATTGACGGCCAGGTGCGGTGGCTCACGCCTGTAATCTCAGCACTCTGGGAGCCCGATACAGGCAGATGACTTGAGGTCAGGAGTTCGAGACCAGCTTGGCCAATGCAATGAAACCCCATCTCTACTAAAAGTACAAAAATTAGCTGGCCATGGTGGTATACGCCTGTAATCCCAGCTGCTTGGGAGGCTGAGGCAGGAGAATCACTTGAACCTGGGAGGCGGAGGTTGCAGCAATCCAAGATCGCACCACTGCACTCCAGCCTGGGCAACAGAGCGAGACTCAGTCTCAAAAAAAGTGCATTGAGGACACGGCCATCCCATCCCCAACAGCCAGCACAGGGAGCACTGTGGGCACTGTCCATGGTCTTTGTTACACTAAAGGAGAAGGATATTGTTGGCTGAGAGTACCCCTTGCTTCCCAGCTCCCAGGGCAGCCTCCTCATGTGGGACCAGGAGCTCGTATTCTAGTCTATATGAAGGATGGCCCCCCGGGACTTCCCAGGAGTCCATGTGTATTGGGTGGTTCCTGCGGTGGGGGCGGATGTCATAGACTCTGCCATATTCCCTGCTCCATTCCCCACGGGGCCCTCTCTTGACCCACAACTCCGCCAGGTGTGATGGCCAGCTTGGGTGAGAGAGATCTGGGCTAGAGGCCGTCAAGCCAGGACTCCTGCTTGGCAGCTCTGGACTTCACCATGAACCTAGAATAGTCCCTGTTGTAGGGACCGGGAAACCCTGTAGTATGCCGCCATCTCTGGGGGGCTCAGGTGGGAAAGGACATCCAGGCAGTGATGCCAGGCGGGGGCGCTCTGACCCCACTGCCCCTCACCGTGCCGAGAGAGGCTCTGCCTGGGGCCGTGGATGGGGTGGGGGTTGAGGGCTGTCTCCGCGGCCTCACTCCTCATTTCCATTCCCTCAGTGACAGCACATCCAGCACACCCAAGACCCCAGATGGTGGACACTCCTCTCAGGAGATAAAGTCTGAGACCTCATCCAATCCCAGCTCTCCGGAAATCTGCCCCAACAAGGAGAAGTAAGAGAGTGAGGGTGGGAAAGGCCAGCTTCGGCCACGTGGAGCCCTGGAACACGCCCTCTGCCTCCTGGCCAGCTGAGAGTGGCCATCTCCTGCCTCTGGAACTCTCCAGAACACAAAGGCCGACGGGTGGGGGCGTGGGGAGCCGCCAGAGGTCCCGGGGAGGACCCTGGGGGTGGAGGGCTCTCGCGTGTGACCCGGGCTGGCCTCACTTCCTATTCCCTGCAGGCCCTTCATGAAGTTGAAGGAAAACGGCCGTGCCATCTCCCGCTCCTCCTCCAGCACCAGCAGCGTCAGCAGCACTGCAGGGGAGGGCGAGGCCATGGAGGAGGGCGACAGTGGGGTAGGTGTGCCCCGTCCACCCTTGGGCAGGCACTCTGGGGCGTCAGCCAGCCACCCTCCTTGCATTAAAACGGCACTGTGGATCGAAGCCCATGTCAGTCTTTGCAGAGGAAAGGGGAAGAATGGAAACGAGAGGTGGGCTCGTTGGCCATCACCACCCCCTGGGCGCAGTGGGTGAGGGGACCTCTCTCTCAGAGTGACATAGCAGCAGCAGAGGGCAGGGGCCAGACCCGATGGTGCCCTGCCTTGGGGTTCCTGGCTGGAGTGGTGAGTGGCCAGTGCCCCAGGGGGCTGGGTCAAAGGTCCTTCTTGGAGCAGGATAGCTTGGAACCAGGGTTGAAGTCAGCAGGAAAGAAAGAGCAGGCCCAAGTGGGGAGCAGGAGGCAGCGGCTGTCCTGGGCTTTTGGGGGCTGCCTCAGGCCTGCGTGGGCGCAGCTGCCGAGGGTGGGCTGGCCTCGCTCACCCTGCCTCTCTCCTCAGGGCAGCCAGCCGTCCACGACCTCACCCTTCAAGCAGGAGGTGTTTGTCTACAGCCCGTCCCCGAGCAGCGAGAGCCCCAGCCTGGGGGCAGCTGCCACCCCGATCATCATGAGCCGGAGTCCCACAGGTCAGTGGCATCTGGTGGTGTGTGTGACGTCACCAGGAGGGCAGGCTGTGCCCTGTCCACTGTTAGCAGGGCCCCAGCCACGCTGAACTGGCCAGTTTTCACCCCTCCTCCCAGCTGTGAGGCCCTCCGCTCTGTGCGCCCGCCTCTTCTGTTCATCAGCCTTAAGATGCCCAAGTTCCTAAGCTCTTCTTACACTGAGAGTTGTGAAGCTGAGGCAGAGAGTTGAAGGCCTTGTGGGAGATCCCACAGCGGAGGAGTCGGGATTGGCAGTGGGAAAGCTGAGCACTTTCCATTAGCCCTTCTCCCCACCTGCCAGTGCTCCAACCCTTCTCCCCACCTGCCAGCGCTCCAGGGCTGCCAGGGCCCGTCTGTCATGTCGGGGGTCTTGATAATACAAGACGGGGGAAGGGCTGCAGGGGGAGGGAACAGCATGTGGAAAGGCCCAGAGGAGAGGAGAGAGCGGGTATTCCGGAACTGCACGTGTTCATGGCAGCTGGGTTCACAGAGCCAGGCGTCAGAGAGGCCGGAGCGTTGACAGGCTGGGTCAGCCCCGGGCCCCGGGTGAGGATTTTGTTCTGCTAGCGGCCACTGTTGGAGTGTTTGAAGGTTCTTAAGTAGGGAAGCACCATCTGGAGTTGAGAAAGTCCATTTTGGCTGCTGCAGCTGCTGAGTGTAGAATGGATTAGTAGAGAGCAGGAGCAGAGGGGAGGGATGGAGGGGAGGGGAGAGGAGGGGAGGGGAGCTGCGGCAGAAGCACCTCGGTTCAGGAGAGATCAAGGAGGTAAAATGTACGGGCTCAGTAGCAGGGGTTCAGAGAGAGCAGGAGTCTGGGCGTTTTGGGGTTCTGTGATCCCTGCAGTTGGTCAGAATAGGGGGGCCAGCACCTGAGGGCCGTTCAGGTAGACCTGTGCGGTGGGCACTGCTGGGCGGGTGCTCCGGGTCTCTGCCCTCGTGAGGGCAGCACAGGACTTTGAGCCTGGGTCCAAATCCTGGGTCTGCTGCTTACTAGACATGTCATTGGGCGAGTCACCAAGCCTGTCTGTGCCTCAGTTTCTCCAAGCAGAAAATGAAGGGAGGGGAAGAGTCGTGTCTGCCTCAGAGGGTTGGTTGTATGAAGATGAAAGGAGCTCATGCTTGTACGAGGCCTGGAACTGTTAACCTCGGTGTTGGTTAAAGAATGGGAATGAGACAATAGTGTAGTCAGCGGTTCTGAGCCGGGGGCAGTCTTGCTACCCCATGGATGTCTGGCAATGTCTGGCGACATTTTTAATTTTCACAATTTTGGAGGGGTGCTACTGGCATCTAGTGGGCAGAGGTCACGGAAGCTGATAAGCAATGTACAGGACAGCCCCCTAGCCACATCAGACAAATAATTCTCTGACCCCAAATGACATTCGGTTGAAAAACTCTAGTCTCAATGGTAGAAACACAGGAAGGGCCAACAGGCCTTCAGGGTGGCTGAAGCCAAAATGTTCCTGGGGTTCACACAGCGAAGGGATGTTGCAAAGGGAACCTGCAGGGTCAGAGATGAAGGGAAGATCGTGATTCCACAGCCAGTGACCCTTTGCATGCGTGTTTCTCAGTGAGTGGAAGAGTTCACGTGCCTCCTCTCATTCAGCCCCCTGTGGTTGGGCAGCTGCGGAGCTGGGTTCAAATCCTGGTTGTAGCATTGACAGGTCCACGTCTCTGAGCCTCAGTTTCCTCATCTGTAAAAGGGGGTGGAAATACAAATTCCCTGATTTTTTTTCGAGATGGAGTCTCACTCTGCCACCCAGGCTGGAGTGCAATGGCGCAATCTCGGCTCACTGCAACCTCCGCCTCCCAGGTTCAAGTGATTCACCTGCCTCAGCCTTCCAAGTAGCTGGGATTACAGGCATGTGCCACATGCCCGGCTAATTTTTTTATTTTTAGTAGAGACACAGTTTCACCATGTTGGCCAGGCTGGTCTCGAACTCCTGACCTCGTGATCCACCCACCTCGGCCTCCCAAAGTGCTGGGATTACAGGCGTGAGCCACCGCGCCTGACCTGGTGTTTTTGTTTTGTTTTGTTTTGTTTTCTAAATAAGACTTAAATATTGAAGGAATGAATGAAAGAATCTGTAAGCAAGCCTGGCCCCCACTTGGTGTTAAATAAACGTCAAAGTAAGGAAGGTTTTGAGTAAAGGAATTAGAGAGTCTCTGCAGGTTGCTGAAGGTCACCGAGGGCGGAAGGGACCTGGAGCGGGTCTGGTGACTTATGGCCGGTGCTTCCCACACCACACGGTGAGGCTGCCTCTTACACACCTTTTCTCCACACAGTATTTAACCCCGATGGGCTGCTTTTCACCCCCAGCCCACGAAAGATGTGCTTGGTACCCACTGGATCAGGGTGGGCTTGGGGGGATCTGGGAACCGGTTTCATGCTGTTTGGCTGAGTCTGGGGAGAGGCAGGGTGGAGTGGGGAGAGGTGGCCTGACGTCCTGACGTACAGTCTCCATAATGTCAGATATCTGATCATGGTCATTTCCTACCTGGGCTTCCTGGGGCACAGAAGAGGACTGATAGGTTACACAGAGGTGTTGTAGCCCTGGGTGGAACTCCTCGATTCGAAGCACCACGAACCAGCCAGCAGCTTCCAGGAAGGCTGCACTAAGCTTTCCATACCCTCGGCCAGAGGACAGCCAGAAAGTCAAGTGGCCCTCCTGCCAGCGGGGCACAGCGGGAAATGTTGACACCGGGCTCTGCCACCACTCACACACACTTAACGGAATTTTATTATACGATGGATGTCAAACCCAGTGTACAAATACTAGATAATATTCTTTACCATAAGTCCCATATGTCCAACTGATTCTCACAGAATGCTTTTAGTGGTGTTTGCTTCACCTTTTTATCTGTAGCCAACTTAAGGCTGCAGGAGATGAATGTGTGTAATTCTGACATGAATGTGGACTGATATTACCATGTTTGTTAATAAGTATTTTATATGTATATATTATATATACATATATAGTATATACATATAATATACATATGTTATAGATACACATAATATACATATATGTATATATTATATATACATATATATTATATGTTATATGTATATACATATGTATAATATATATTATACACACACACACACACACACTCACTCTCATGGCGCCCGGCCATGAGTATTTTGTATTAAGAGAACTTCATTCGTCAGTGACATGAGTCATTTCCTTGCTGTATCCGAGAAAAGTTTTCAAACCCCGGAAGGATATTTCCTCAGTTTTCTTTTGTGCTATTCACAATGTAATCGCTGCAGACACAGCATGTTTTGAAGTTTCATGTAAATTCCTTTTTTTCTATTAGTTCCTTAAGTCTAGACAACAAAACAATCAATCAAGTCATGATTTGTAGCATGTACCAGTTTCTGTGGTGTAAATACACTTGTCGTGGCTGATCTCAAGCTACTGACGTGATGTCCTCGAACGTGGACTTGGGAAGAAGATATACTGTAGCCACCATCTTTAGGGTGTTTCTACCACATGGATACAATAGACGTAAGAGCACAGATAATCGTAAAACAGAGAAAAATAAGTAGGAAGTGACGAATTTCAAGTATTTATTACCTCTGTTGAATATAATTTATTGAACTGTAAGCTTATATATAATTCAACTTTAAAAAATGGCCTGAGTTGAACAACCAGCTCACCACAATTCTATAATCTAGGAGTTGGCTCTCGTGGGTCGGCACAGGTCAGCTAGGGTGCCTGGTCCTGGTGGAGGGCAGGAGGCCCCCTTCCCCTGGCCTCCCTAGCCAGTCCCCACACACAGCCCCAGTGGCCTCCACAGCTCCACCCTCCTTTCATGGCCGTTCTTTTTCTTAGATGCCAAAAGCAGAAACTCCCCGAGATCGAACCTGAAATTCCGCTTTGACAAGCTCAGCCATGCCAGCTCTGGTGCGGTAAGGATGCGCCTCCCACACCCCACACTCCACTTTCTGCAGAGGCCCAGCCTTCCTTCCTGAGGCCAGAGGAAGAGGGTTCAGACATCCCAGAGGGGGCTCCCCGAAGGAGGCAGGGGAAGCTCTGGGGACGTCTGGCTCCAGCAGGTGCAGGCCGTGTCTCCGGGTTCCAGCCACCTTTGCCACAACTCCCAAGGTGGAGCTACACCTCTGGACACGGCCAGGCCCAGATGTGAGGTGGGAGGTGCTGGTTCCTGGGTCCCCCAGTCCCTTCCTGAGCTCTCCAGACTATCGAGAGCTCCAGGCCCAGTTGTGAGGTGGGAAGGGCTGGTTCCTGGGTCCCCCAGTCCCTTCCTGAGCTCACCAGACTATCGAGAGCTCCAGGTCCAGATGTGAGGTGGAAGGTGCTGGTTCCTGGGTCCCCCAGTCCCTTCCTGAGCTCTCCAGACTATCGAGAGCTCCAGGTCCAGATGTGAGGTGGAAGGTGCTGGTTCCTGGGTCCCCCAGTCCCTTTCTGAGCTCGCCAGACTATGGAGAACTCCAGGTCCAGATGTGAGGTGGGAAGGGCTGGTTCCTGGGTCCCGAATCCCTTCCTGAGCTCACCAGACTATCAAGAGCTCCAGGTCCAGATGTGAGGTGAGAAAGGCTGGTTCCTGGGTCCCCCAGTCCCTTTCTGAGCTCGCCAGACTATCGAGAACTCCAGGTCCAGATGTGAGGTGGGAAGGGCTGGTTCCTGGGTCCCGAATCCCTTCCTGAGCTCACCAGACTATCGAGAGCTCCAGGTCCAGATGTGAGGTGGGAAGGGCTGGTTCCTGGGTCCCCCAGTCCCTTCCTGAGCTCTCCAGACTATCGAGAGCTCCAGGTCCAGATGTGATGTGGGAAGGGCTGGTTCCTGGGTCCCGAATCCCTTCCTGAGCTCACCAGACTATCGAGAGCTCCAGGTCCAGATGTGAGGTGGAAGGTGCTGGTTCCTGGGTCCCCCAGTCCCTTCCTGAGCTCTCCAGACTATCGAGAGCTCCAGGCCCAGTTGTGAGGTGGGAAGGGCTGGTTCTTGGGTCCCGAATCCCTTCCTGAGCTCTTCAGACTATCGAGAGCTCCAGGTCCAGATGTGAGGTGGGAAGGGCTGGTTCCTGGGTCCCGAATCCCTTCCTGAGCTCTCCAGACTATCGAGAGCTCCAGGTCCAGATGTGAGGTGGGAAGGGCTGGTTCCCGGGTCCCCCAGTCCCTTTCTGAGCTCGCCAGACTATCGAGAACTCCAGGTCCAGATGTGAGGTGGGAAGTGCTTGTTCCTGGGGTCCTGAATCCCTTCCTGAGCTCACCAGACTGTTGAGAGCTGAGTGCACAGAGCCGCCGTGGAAGGGACCTGTGCTGTCTGGTTATTTAAACTCCTGTATGGATTTTTGTTGAAACAGGGTCACTAATGTGAAAGTGGAGTCCTTCGCCTGTCCAAGGTGGGTTGAGTGAATGTCCTGCTGTGGCCGTGAGGGGGGACGTGTGTTTCTTTTAGATCAGGGAACTAGAGGCCTTGTAACCTCAGAATGGCCGGAGAGATGCCGCCAGCTGGGGATGTCCAAAGAGTCTCCTACTCGCCCCTGAAGACCTGCAATGGGGAAGGAGGGGCAGATGGCCTGTGTGCGGATGGGAAGGGGGTTCCCAGTGACACTGGACTAGACGTACTAGTTAGGCCTCCCTTCCACCGATGGGGTCTGGTTCCCGCAGGCAGAAGGGGAGTCGCCCAAGCCCGCTTCTGACCCAGGAGGGAGGAGTTCCTGAGGGCTCCCTTGCTCCCCTGCCCTCAGGCAGCTGTTCCCTCCTTGTGTCTTTGGCGGAGGCCCTGGGCTGAGGTGTGTTCTCCCTCCCTGTCGGGAGTCAGCACTGTGAGGGACCACCCCAGGAGGCCTCTTCCCCTGCCTGCTTTGAGGGGGCACGTGGTTTGAGCAGAGTGGCCGTGGGTCCAGCTCGCCCCCATCAAGGCCTGGATTTCTGCTGGGGAAGTCACCAGAGACCCATCTGAGCTCCCAGCCCTCTCCCCACATGGGGCTTCAGGGGTCAGAGTCACAGCTGGAGCCAAGAGGAGGGGTACAACCGAACCCACTCTGTGTTCAACCTGATTTATGAAAAAGCAGAAGACAAATGGGCATATGGACCTTCACCCCCGGCTCCCATCACGCACTCTGGACGCCACTGCCCACCAAAGCCGTGGCTATGCGCAGCTTCTCGGGCCACGCAAGGTGGGGCACCCTTACATCAGGTGCCCTCCTGCTCCTGAGTGTATCCAGTGAGCTGTAGCCATGGGCAGGCGTGTTCCCCACCCCTTGCTCCCGACGTCCGCGTCGTCCCCTCCTTCCTGTACGGAATGTTCGCTCATCGCCGCCTCCTCCTTGTCTCCTCAGGGAATCCCCTCTTCTGTCCTGGAAAAGGCTCCTGTACCAGCAGTTTGGGAGTGCCGTCCACGACCCTGACAGTCCCAGCCCTGCTGCCCCATGGCCACGTGCCCACAGATGTGCTGTTGGTCCAGGTGTCCCAGTCTGGCCACAGCCCTGCCTCCGCCCTCACCTACATGCCCTCCCAGCCCCTCCCATCTCTGGACGAGGCCTCCTTCCTCAGGTTCCTCCTGCTCCTGACCTCCCAGTGTGATGTCCGGGTCCTTTATCATCCTATTCATCCTGGAGAGGAAAAGTGTCGGGCAAAGGGGGATCTGGGGGGAGCTCAGCAGTGACTGGGGAGCTGGTCTGCCTCAGAGACAGAGTAGGGGGTGGGAGCAGAGCCTCGGTGAGGGTCTTGGCCACAGGGCAGTGCCTTCCTGAACGTGGCAGGCTTTACTACCAGGAACGCACTCGGTGGTGGAGGCCCCATGTTCCCAGGAGCCAAGATTCGTAGCATCCTTGAGGCCATCCTGATAAAATTCGGCGCTATTGCCCCCGTAGCTCTGGAGCTCTAAACCGTCTATCTGCTTCTGTGCTGAACGCCTTTCCCATCTGCTGACGTAGGCCCAGGGCTGCCCTGCCCCTGCTGCCAGTGTACCGTGAGCGGGGCTCCAGCCAGTTCAAGCTCAGAGCCAGAGCTGGACGGGCCAGAACTGCGCTGCACACTTCCTGGACTGAGGCGGGGACTTTGGGTCCCACCCGGTTTCTCCTGATTATGGCTGCTGTGGGGTGAGGGGAGGGAGGGGCAGCCCCGAGGCAGTCTCTTCCCTTTGAGAAGATATTTTCCCACAAAGGGGTGGGAAGCCAGGAGTGAGAAGGAATTCAGGGAGAGCAAAGGAGCCAGTGCTGAGATGCTGCTGTGTTGGTTGAGGAAAACCTCGGGCCTGAGGGCCAGGCCGGAGCCCAGGTCTCTGCTGACAATGGGGGTTCAAGGAAGACGTCGTTATCTCCCCTCCCCACTTACTCGAGGAGAGAGGTGAGGGGGGGATGACTTGCGGGTTCTGATCAGGCCCCTGGGTGGGGAAGGGGCACAGTGTCCCTCAGCAGCTTACGCCCCTGGAGTCTTGGGGGGCCCAGCCTGGCCCTGGGGCCTTTTCCAGCTACTGTGCCCTTGGGCAGCTGCGTCTGGGGCTCAACCCCCCAATCCTGTTCCCCTCTCCAGCTGCGGGTCTGTAGGCAGCTGTCACATCTGAAGGGTTTCTGCAACCTGGACCCCATCTGGGTGTGGGTCAGACCCTGTGACCCACATGCCACCCCCACCCTCCACAGAGCCCCCTTGCTGGGACAGCCAGCTCACCTCCAAGGACATCCCCTCCTGGCTTCTCCCCCTTCCGAGTCTGCAGCGCCGTGGGCTTCTCTGCCGATGGGCCCGGGTTGGGGTTAAGGTGGGCATCCTCCAGGTACAACGAGCCTGAAGAGCCCCTTTCAGTGCAGACGGGGCTGCAGAGTGACACTGGCTGGGCACCTGCCCCACGACCAATGACAAGGATTTCCAGCTGAATGCTTTATTCCCATAGGGATCTGGACCTGTGCCCAAGATATAAATACTACACTTTTTTTTTTTTTTTTTAACTGACATTGTGAAATTCTCCCTATAGCTTTTGCCATTCAAGCAACATTGTGATCTTTCTTCCCCGCCACGTGTGTGGGAATGATTGAGTCCTGTTTGCAAGCTGGAGAGGAGCTCTCCCTTTGCTAGTACTTTCTCTAAAGTACTAGTCTAGTAAAATTTATTCTTGTTAGAAGGTCAACAAAATATCTGTTTAGCTTTTATGAAGAGTCACCGTAGCAGCCCCCACGGCTGGAAAGAGGCCTGTACGTTCTGGACGCGTTTTGTTGGCTGGGCTTCTGGAGGCACTGGCAAGGTCAAACTGCATTTCTTTAAGAACAGTTGCAGGATCTGGCTCGCCTCTGTGGGAAGCCGGCATTACAGGTGCTTGGTGGATGGGCCGTGTCACATTGCCATCTGGGGTCCTTTGGGGTTTCCAGGTTGTCACCATGCTGTCCCATTTGGGAATCCCATACCTGCCTGTCCCCACTGCGCTGGCTGACCCTTGCTGCCTGCTGCCTCTTGGGAGGGCTTTGTCCCTGCCTCTGAGCTGGTGGGCAGGATGGCTGGGTGGCCCCCAGAGAAGCACAGACCTGAGATGGGGTCTCCATGCCCGGTTTGCTGTTGGAATGATCTGAACAGGACCCCAAATGCCTCTTCCCTCTGGTCATGCCTCACTATCTCTAGGAGCTCCATCCTGTGGCTTCCAGAGTGTGCACTTCCAGCCCACCCGGGCAGTGCTGAGAGGGAGGAGGAGAACAAGGATGGCCCAGCCTCCCCTCCCTCCCCTAGACCACGGGGCGGGCAGCTCGGGTTCCTGGAGGGCTGTTTCCCCCACGCTGTCCCTACATCTGCTCTGATCTAAAATGTCTTTCCTTTTATGCTGCGCCCAGTCTTGGGGCTCAAAGATTTGCCCAAACCTCATTGGCCCTCGTGACTAGGCTCATCTAGATGGTGCTCACGCTGGTGTTTGAGGCATTTCCACTGTGATCTCCACGAGGGGATGTTTTCCGGGACACATCTCTGGCTCTGGGAACTGCCTGACTCACTGAAGAAACTACTTTTCAGGCACTGTAGGGTCACCCATATGCCTCCAGCTCAGTTGACGCTTAAAAACAGGTGCAGAAAAGCTCGCGATGGAAGGTCTTAATGAGAGTGTCTGTCTATGCCAATCATGTAAAATGACGTTTCTTGAAAAAGATTCAGTGGTTCAGCTTTGTCAGCATCATCTCAACACAAGCCTGCTGGCTCTTTTTAGCATCTCATCCAACCATGTCATCGTCCAGATGAGAAATCTTAGCCCAGGTGAGGGGAGTAACTTGCTTGAGGTCACACAGCTGGCTGTTGGCAAAGCTGGGATTAGAACCCTCAACCCAGGGTCCCTTCCTCTGCAGCGCCTACATGGTTGGTTGAATAAGTGGCTGCGTTTCCTGGGGCCCTGGGTTTTGGGGAAGCCAGTTAGCTGCTGCTTTGGCACTGGCATGGAGGTGAGCAGTCAAGGATGCTGGTGAGGCTGCAGTTTCTGCTCTTTTTCATCAGGGGGGATAGTCTCTAGGATTTTTCAGTGAGGACCCTTGGGCTTTGGATGCAGCTTGAACCAAGAAAACGAGGAGGGAAAGGGATTCAGTGAACTATTCCTCAGTGGGATCGGTTCTTCAGCTCCTGATGGGGGCTGTGTAATGGGGGCAGAGGCCAGGGAAAAAGATGCTGTTCACCCACCCTCAGCTTCCCTTTTCCTAAATTAAGAGGAAAAGTGGTCAAAGAAAAACTCTTCATTTCTCCCTGATTCTTAAACGAAGGTGGTTAATAGAAACTCAGGCTCCCGTGACAAGGCAGGACAAGAGCCTGTTTCGCTTTCCTCCCTGACCCTGCCAGGTGCCAACTCAAACACTACCTTTCTCATTGGTTTCTAAGTCAGTAGAGACAGATCTGTTTTAAGCAGTTGGGGGTTCGAGTAGATCTCATGGGTACAGGAGGCCAGCAGGGACCAGGCCAGTCAGCCATGCTCAGGACCCCTCGGCTCCTCCCCCAGCCTCTAGCTACCCTGTATCGAGGCAAGGGGAGGCCAGTAAAGTTTGCCAAGCCTGATCCTGCAGCCTGGTGGGGCTGGCTGGGGTATTCTTTTACCAAACTCTGTTTTACCGCCAGCCCCTTGTACACCCCAATCCCATGTCTCCCTCCCTTCAGCTGGACCGTGTGCCCCTTTGGGAGGAAGAAGACAAGCCCCACTAGGGCCAAGGGCAGCAGAGCCCTGCCGAGTGAGAGGCTGTGGGGCAGCGGCTCTGTCCTGTGCCTTACCAGCCCTGGGGAGGGGGGCATTTGGCTGGAAGACTGGAATTTAATTGCCATCGTCTTTGATTTTGTGACATTTCTGCTTGGAAGTGTGAACTACCCCCCCCCCCCCGCTTCCTGCTCCTTAGCATGCGTGCAGCTCTCTCCTGTTTTGGGTGTTCCCCTTGGACACTCCAGCTCGGGGACTGCTGGCGTGTGAATGTGCAGATTCCCCTGTGTGGTCGAACCTAAGAACTGTGGCTTGGAAGTGATGCTCCATGTGACGACGACTTTGCTTTCTTTCCTCTTAGTGAGGAGGTGATTCGTAGATCCCAACTGCCTATGTAATGTAAATAATGTACATTTAATTTATTGCTATGGTAGCACATTGTATTTGTTAATGTACAAAACAAATTCTAAAAGGTTGACAAATGTATATTTTGTTGCTTAAATGTGTCTTTGCAGAAATTGACAATAAATAACATATTTTGTGTCCATCAGTGTTCAGAGTTCTTTGCATGGGGCCCTGGGCCTGGGGGTCACTGTTCAGTTCACTGGAAGTTGCATATTCTCTGGCCAATAGATGTGTTACTTTAGTCTGAGATGTATTTTTAAACATTTACATTAATTGTTGATGTTTAAAAAACTGACGACAATTAGAAAAGTGGCCGGGCGTGGTAGCTCCCACCCAGAATCCTAACATTTTGGGAGGCTGAGGCAGGAGGATCTCTTCAGCCTAAGGGTTTGAGACCAGACTGGGCAACATAGTGAGGCCCGATGTGTACCAAAAAAAAAAAAAAAAAAAAAACAAAAAACAACCAAAACCCCAAAAAACCCCTAAAAAATTAGCTGGGCAGGTGGCACGTACCTGTGGTCCCAGGTACTCAGGAGGCTGAGATGGGAGGATCACTTGAGCCTGGGAAGTCAAGGCTGCAGTGATCTGTGATTGCAGCGGTGCACACCAGCCTGGGCGACAGTGATACTGTGTTTCAAAACAACAACAGCAACAAAAAAGCTCTGCGCAGTGGCTCACGCCTGTAATTCCAGCACTTTGGGAGGCTGAGGTGGGCGGATCACTTCAGGTCAGGCTTTCGAGACCAGCCTGGCCAACATAGTGAAACCCTGTCTCTACTAAAAACACAAAATTTAGCCAGGTGTGGTGGCAGGCACCTGTAATCCCAGCTACTCAGGAGGCAGGAGAATCTCTTGAACTCGGGAGGCGGAGGTTGCAGTGAGCCAAGATTGCGCCACTGCACTCCAGCCAGGGCGACACAGAGCAAGACTCTGCCTCAAAAAAAAAAAAAAAAAAAAAAAAAGAAATTTTACATAAATCCCAAATTCTGCTGCTTTTAAAAAATCAGGGCCGGGCGTGGTGTCTCATGCCTGTAATCCCAGCACTTTGGGAGGCCGAGGTGGGCGGATCACGAGGTCAGGAGATCAAGACTATCCTGGCTAACATGGTGAAAACCCATCTCTGCTAAAAATACAAAAAAAAAGTAGCCGGGCGTGGTGGCAGGTGCCTGTAGTCCCAGCTACTCGGGAGGCTGAGGCAGGAGAATCACTTGAACCTGGGAGGCAGAGGTTGCAGTGAGCCAAGATCGTGCCACTGCACTCCAGCCTGGGTGACAGAGGGAGACTCTGTCTCGGGAAATAAATAAATAAATAAATAAATAAATAAAAATCAGATGCTGAATCTACTCCTCAGGCATGAGTTGGTTAGAGTTCACTGGAATCTTTCCCTTTTGACTGGGACCTTGAGTGTCCCACAGTCTCCACCGTCCCCTACTGTTTACACCTGGAAGATTTCACTCATTCCTGTTATCTGTTGGTCTCTGTCATGGCTGAGTTTGAGAGCCTGGCTGTTCAGTGATTCGTGTCCATCCTGCGGTGTTCTCCCTCTGCCTGCTTCTCAGATTCCTCACTCACTCCTTCCAGGTTTCCCTCACGGTTGCATGCTCTCTCTTCCCGTCCTCCTCTGACTCCTGAATGGCCCTGTTCTCACATACACTTTGCTTTACACTGCTTGGCTGTACAGCTTGAAGTAATATCTGCATTTTTTTTTTCCTGAATAAATTTGAAGGCAAGGAACAGGTGTTTAAGAATCTGCTGATCGAGCGCGGTGGCTCATGCCTGTAATCCCAGCACTTTGGAAGGCTGAGGCGGGCGGATCACTTGAGGTCAAGAGTTCAAGACCAGCCTGGCCAACATGGTGAAACCCCGTCTCTACTAAAAATACAAAAATTAGCTGGGCCTGGTGGCAGGTGCCTGTAATACTAGCTACTCGGGAGGTTGAGCTGCAAGAATCACCTGAACCTGGGAGGCAGAGGTTGCAGTGAGCTGAAATCTTGCCATTGCACTCCAGCCCGGGTGACAGAGCGAGACTCCATCTCAAAAAAAAAAAAAAAAAAAAAAAAGATTCCGCCATGACTTCCTTTTGTGGTCTTGGGCAAATTCATTAACTCCCCATGATTTGCATTTTCTTTTGTGTATAATTAGAACAATAATTCACATAGCTAGCATGAGGAGAAAAATGAATTTATTGGGAAAGAGCTTTGAGAAATGGCAAGTGTTATGCAAGCACCAGAGGTTCGATAATAATAATAATACGAGCAACTGACACTGAAAGCTCACCATATGCTCGGTGTTTTCCCTGGGTTGTCAGTTCTGTTATCACACAACATGGCACTTCCTAAACATACACCATGGGAGATGGTGCAACCACAGGGCTTATGGCAAACAATGGGGTTAGGGACGTAACACTCAAACACTTTGTCAGTGACGTAAAAATAAAAAGACAGGAACTTGATAACAATTTTACACGTGTTAAATGATTGAGAAATACATAAGGGCTACAATAAAGGCAGTTTAGCTTTAATAAGATGGGAAGTTTGCTTGTGGAATCGGTTGTTGGCAGGTTGTGAAGCGGTGGAAAGAGAGCTTTTCTGAAATTGGATGGACAGTAACAGCAGAGGTGGATGGGTATGGCCCCCGGCACATGGTGTATTGAGGCAGCTGGCAGATGTTGGAGGTGTATGTGTATTTTGTGTGTCCCTGTGCAGCTTGATTTAGCTGGCTGCCGGTTTTGGCACTCACCTAATATTTCTCATGGATGAGGAGCGTAAGCTAAAGGGCAACTTCCATGATACTCCGATTGTTTCCTATTATATCAACTACATTGGACTCCATTTCCATTTTCAACACAACTGCCGTAGCAGAACTCACTTTTTTTTTTTTTTTTTGAGATGGAGTCTCACTCTGTCGCCCAGGCTGGAGTGCAGTGGCACAATCTCAGCTCACTGCAACCTCTGCCTCCCAGGTTCAAGCAATTCTCCTGCCTCAGCCTCCCCGGTAGCTGGGACTACAGGCATGTGCCACCACGCCCAGCTAATTTTTTGTATTTTTAGTAGAGACGGGGTTTTACCAAGTTGGCCAGGCTGGTCTCGAACTCCTGACCTCAGGTAATCCGCCTGCCTCGGCCTCCCAAAGCACTGGGATGACAGGTGTGAGCCACTGCCCCAGCCCAGAACTCACAATGATCATCTAATTTAGTCATCTGAAAAGCCCACGAAGGCATGTATTATTCCCGTTTCACTTAAGGGATCAGTTTCAAATTTCAGTTTGGGATCCAAATCTCATATGCTGAGCTCAATATGAAAGGAAGTTCCAGACTTGGAAGGTTCTAGATGCACAGAAATGTATCAGGAAAAGTGCATCCTGGCTCTCTCTGGTTTCCCTGCCCAGCTTGGAGCCCCTGTCCTGGAACCCATGTGTCCAGCATCCCACGCTTCTGCCATCATGCTGTGCCAAGTGGTGCCTGTCTGAGCCCACGGTTACAGATGTCTTATTTCTCGGGTGTTAGATTCCACCTGTTGAGTCCCCTTGGCTGCAAGTCAAGCTTCATCTTTCACACAAACTCTCTGTGCCCATCTGTACCTCACGGTTCGGCTGCTTCCTGGGTTCAACCCTTCCTCCCAGAAAATGTGAGGTTACCTATATCTGGACACTTTGTGGAGGTGGAACATGTCCTGTCTCTGTGGGAAATGTAGGAGGCATGGAAGTCATCAGCTATGCTGGTCGGTATTGTCCCTCCAAGCCTGCAGGCTCTCCTAGGGTTCTGAAAGCTCCCTGATCGGTCTAGGTGTCTGTGGTCAGGTGTTCTTTCTCCCGAGGTGGGCACGCCTCCAGGTTGGGGCTCAGTTTTAGGACTCTTAAAATCTGTTTTTTCCACTCAGCGTCTAACAGCTTGTAGCAGTCACTGGACATTTTGGGGGTGGGGGTGGGGGTGGGGGCACTGTTTTGCCTGCTCCGTGGGGGAAAAGCTTTCATGAGGAGTCTGGTCAGCCCGCGCTCAGATTTTCCCTCAGTCTCGTTTTTGGAGTGCTCCCTGTGTCCAGCCATGCCCTCTCCCACATGCGCTCTGACCAACCTTCGGTGTCCCCTGGTTCTATTCTAACAACAACATTGCGGTCCAGTTCCCTAAGCTTGCAGTGATCCTCAGTTAATACAACAGTTATTACAACAGTCTCTTGTGTGTTCAGACGCAGCCCTGTTTGTGGTAAACTTCACATTCCACGCAAAGCCCTTCTCACCCATTTCCTGGGGTGGGCAAGCCTGGTGGGTACAGATCTTGGCTTGGGACGTGGCAAAGACGCCCTCCTTGACCGTACTTCAGTCAGGATCCTCTGGCCGTCTCTTCAATGAGGCCTCACACTCGACCTGTCCTTGGTTTGCCAAGGCAGTTTTAGCAAAGAATCTTATAAACCAGTGTGAATATCGCCCTGCCCTTGATATTTGATCAAGTTGCTCGTCCCCCACCCTTGATACCTAGGCTCCTCTTAGTAATTTCCCATCTAAGGAAACTCCTCACTCTGCCCATCGGCTATAAATCTGCAACTGTCCCTGACGTGTCAAAGTTGAGTTCAGTCTTTGTCCCCTTTGCAGTAGTCTTGAGTAAAATCTTCCTTGCCTATTTAACTCTGTCTGGTGTGATTTTTCTTTGACAAATGGCTGGTCAGTTCTCACACCAGTGCCCCTCTTTGTCCTGGTGTGGTAGGGTGGGGTGCAGAAGGGCCAAAGGGGCATCTCATTTTGATACTGCCCCAGGGGAGAGCGCTGGTGAGTCTGGGGAGTCTGAGAAGCAGACACCAAGACAGCGTCAACAAATTATTAGGAGAAGGGCCTGTGAGTGAAAACGGAGGAGGTGGGATATGGAGGAGGCTGGAAAAGCTGTCAGGCTGTGATGCAGGTCTGACCCTGCACGGAGGAGAGATGGGAGTGAGGGAGGTTGCGTGAAGGCCTCTTAGATGGGGTGCAGTTCTAAGGAAAGTTCAGGGCTGGGCACGGTGGCTCACGCCTGTAATCCCAGCACTTTGGGAGGCCGAGACGGGTGGATCACAAGGTCAAGAGTTCAAGACCAGCATGGCCAAGATGGTGAAACCCCGTCTCTACTAAAAATACAAAAATTAGCTGGGCGTGGTGGCGGGAGCCTGTAATCCCAGCTACTCGGGAGGCTGAGGCAGAGAATTGCTTGAACCCAGGAGGTGGAGGTTGCAGTGAGCCGAGATCGCACCACTGCACTCCAGCCTGGGTGACAGAGCGAGACTCTATCTCAGAAAAGAAAAAAAAAAAAAAAAAAAAAAAAGGATGAGTTGATGAGTGACTCCATCGAGTGAAATAATAACACAAAGCAGCTCATATCAAAGGACTAATAAAAACAAACTGCAACATAACCAGCTCCACATAAAAATGTACAAATGAATGATCATACACACACCAGTGAGGCTGTACTAGGAAAGGCACAGACACTTCATAAGAAAGATGGTAGAACGCTTGCTCAAATTATTGGGTCAAATGAATTTTATGGATCCTCCTGCAAGACATTCCATTAAAAAATTAAATATTAGACCAGCAAGGAAGTCTTTATGGCCTTGTTCTAAAATGCCGATTGTTGGGTTTTATAAGAACTTATCACTAGTAAGAAATATGAGGAAAAATCCAGGGAATATGGACAATGGGGTCCAGATAAAATCCAACTATGCCACTGAAAGTGCAATAGTGAATATAATGGAAACGATTTTACCTTTTTTAGTTACAGAATTTTCCACTAAGAAAGAGAGTTTCTAAAACTAGGAAGGATAAAACTCTAGCAGAGACAAACAACTGTAACCTACTACAAGGACTCAGCAATGTTAATGTTATCTGAGATTTTAATTTAGTGACATTTTATTGCCAGCTAGTATTAACTACGATGACTTTGTTGCAGGGGTTGAACCCAGTTCAAACTACTTTAAGCCAAAAAGGGGAGCATTTGTTAAAAAGATACAGGAGTGTCTCCTGGAATCAAAGGACAGGGATGCATCTGTGCCACATGAAGGACAGCAAAGGTTGTCAGCCCTCAGGCAGTCTCTTGCCTCTGCTTTCTGTTTTTTTTTTTTTTGGCTTCTGCTTTTTTCTCTGTGCTTCTCTGTATTTATTTTCTTTCTATTGGGTTGTTGGCATTGTCTTTATGGATTTGGGATGACTTTTTGTGTAGCTTTATTCTTTCCTTGAGGACCAGCTGAGCTGATCTCAGCACCAGATTTTCCCTTCACTGTCTGGACTGTGAAAATGGATCTGGGCCCTTCAATATGTTTCCTTTGTCAGCGGCACCGTGTTGCGCTTTGTCAGTAGAGGGCGCCAGAGAGACACTGCAGGAGGGACAGAGTTTTATCTCCCGGTTCTCCCGTGCTTGCTTGGCAACCTCTTAATTCCCACTTGGCTCTTGTAGCACATGCTGCATCTGGGGGTCTGGTTCCTGCAGGGTGGGCACCTCTGCCAGCACCAGGTTCTTTCAGGGCACACAGCCTTTCCAGCACCCCTCCCCTGCCCATCCCCAGCCTCTCCAGTGCCCACCCCCTGCAGGGCATGACACACAGCCGCGCCCCGTGGCTAGCTGCTTCTCCTGCCAGCAACTCCTTCCTGTCTGCTGGTCCCCACCACAGTGCCCCAGTGGTCTTGCAGCACAGTACCTCCAGTGAGACACCTCCCCATGAACAGAGGGTGGATTTTCAGTATGCTTTACTGGTGTGGCACCACAGCGACTTTTCCATCCAGTGACCCAAGGCCATCCAGGGCTGGATCGTAGCATAGTCCTGGCGGTGGGGGCGGGCAGCTCTTCCTTGGATGCTCTATCTTACCCTTAGGGGTGGAGGCTGCTCCTTATTTCCGCTATTCCTGTATCTGTTAGAGTTGTCTTCGCTTATTAGTAGCCAATCCCTCAGTACTCCAATCCCCTGCTAAAGAATTCTTTATATGAAACCTTCCTATGCAAGTTACTGTGTGGCTTCTCTCTCCTGATTGGACCCAGACTAACAGAGCAGCTTTCTCAGTTTCTCTGGGGAGAACCTTTCTGTATCACATGAATCCACATCTCCCTCATTTAAGAGGGAGTCCAGGGCTAGTGTCTGGTTCTATTCCAGAGTCCCATGAGGGAGACTCTGATCAGCCCAAGAGGGTCAGGTGATGACCTCCTACTCTGATCAACTCCACCCAGTGGGCTGGACTTGTGGGTGCCACAGATAGCCCTGTGGGTGATGGGGGGCTGTTAAAGGGTTCTTGTGAGCTGGCACGTTCCCAATGGGTGTCTACTACAGAACCCTGTTTATTAAAGACAAAAGTGGTGTATGGAAACCTGGGTTATGCTGATAACCTAAAATACCTGACCATTTCATGAACATGGGAAGAGTAGCAGTGACGCGAAAGTAAAACCGACATTGCAAAAGCTTCTACTGACTTTTGTTTCCTGCTGACTTTTAAAACAACATTTATACAATTTTGTCAGTTGTACCTCAATAAAACCGAAAAAAAAATTAAATGGTACAGCACAAGAACTTATAAGAACATTTTTCTATGCACCAGAGCATTTTGGTTGAAATTTTTTTTTTTTAAATTTCAATAGCTTCTGGGGTACAAGTGGATTTTGGTTACATGGATGAACGGCATAGTCATGAAGTCTGAGAGTTTAGTGCATCCATCACCCAGGTAGCGTACATTGTACCAAATATGTAGTATTTTCTCCCTCACCCCCTCTCACCCTCCCACTTCTTAGTCTACATAGCTCGTTATACCACTCTGTATGCTTTTGCGTACCCATAGCTTAGCTCCCACTTATAAGTGAGAACATATGGTATTTGGTGTTCCATTCCTGAATTACTTCATTTAGAATAATGGCCTCCAGCTCTATCCAAGTTGCTGCACAAAACATATTTTGTCCTTTTTATATGGCTAAGTAGTATTCCATGGTTATATATACTACATTTTCTTTTTTTTTTTTAAATTATCCTTTAAGTTCTGGGGTACATGTGCGGAACGTGCAGGTTTGTTACATAGGTATACATGTGCCATGGTGGTTTGCTGCACCCATCAACCCGTCATCTACATTAGGTATTCTACTAATGCTATCCCTCCCCTAGCCCCCCATCCCACCGACAGACCCCAGTGTGTGTTATTCCCCTCCCTGTGTCCATTGTTTCTCATTGTTCAACTCCCATTTATGAGTGAGAACACATGGTGTTTGGTTTTCTGTTCTTACGTTAGTTTGCTGAGAATGATGGTTTCTAGCTTCATCCATGTCCCTGCAAAGGACATGAACTCATCCTTTTTTTATGGCTGCATAGTATTCCCTGGTGAATATGTGCCACATTTTCTTTATCCAGTCTATCATTGATGGGCATTTGGGTTGGTTCCAAGTCTTTGCTATTGTGAACAGTGCCGCACTAAACATATGTGTGCATGTGTCTTTATAGTAGAATGATTTATAATCCTTTGGGTATATACCCAGTAATGGGATTGCTGGGTCAAATGGAGATCCTAAAGGAATCGCCACACTGTCTTCCACAATGGTTGAACTAATTTACACTCCTACCAACAGTGTAAAAGCATTCCTATTTCTACACAACCTCTCCAGCACCTGTTGTTTCCTGACTTTTTAATGATCGCCATTCTAAGTGGTGTGAGATGGTATCTCATTGTGGTTTTTATTTGCATTTCTGTAATGACTAGTGATGGAATTAGTTCTCTTAACCCTATTCCCTTTCTTCATCTTCCCAAAATATAACAGTATTTTGAGTTATGTGGCAGTCAGTATACTGGTCATTATAATGATATAAATCTTGTTTACTATAAAATTAAGTAGAATTTTATGTCCTTTCTTGTACAACTTTACGTTTTCCCTGGAATGACTAATTACCTTCACTTTAATTTGCCTTCTTCCTCATATACACAGTCTCATTTTTTCCCTTATGTTCTATGAGGGCTACTATTTTCCTGGTACCAAACTCATTGGAGCCTGATTTCTTTTTGCTTCAATTTGGCCTTGTTACTTTCTAGGCCTGCTTAGCACAGCTGTATTCCCCAGACTTCTTTTTTGGGTAACATCTGTGATTTTCTGGATCCCATGAACTCCTTGTTCTTGACTTACTCCTGAGTTTTGCTGGAGCTCACCCCCCAGTAGCTTCTTAAGGAAGGATGGAAGACAAATGTGTTAAGTCCTTTCACATCTGAAAATGTCTCTATTCTCCCCTACACTAGATGACTAGTTTGGCTGGAAATTCTGTGTTGAAAATATTTATTTCCACAGAATTTTGAGGGCATCACTCCGCTGTCTTCTAGCATCCAGAGTTACCATTTTGATTCTTGAGCTTTTGTAGTTGATCATGTTTTTTTTTTTGCTGATCTGTTTTTTTTTTCCCGGAAGTATTTATGATCCGCATATGCCAGCATCAAAGACTTAAAAGATGTTGTGCAGGAAACAACCTGTTCCCTGCAAGACCAAAGGCAAATATTTCATTATATGCAGATGTTATGATTGCATACTTGGAAACACAAAGAATGTCCATTGAAAATTATTACTAACAATAAGAGAATAGAATGTATATACAGTTGATCTGAAATTTGTTGATATATCTTGGCATGAGTTTAAACAATTGCTTTCATTGTTTTGGACCTTCAATGATTCTTTAACCTTGATATATGTGACCTTCAGGTTAGGGGCATTTTATGCTATTTCTTTGATTTTATTGGAACCTTATAATTCCATATAAACTTAAGATCAAGTTTTCTAGTTCTCCAAAGTCTTTTTGGAACTTTTCTTAGGGTCACGATAAAGTTTTAATTTAGGGAGATTTGACATTTTTATTACATAGAAACTTCCTATTCACAAATATATCTTTCTATTATTTCAAGTTTTCTTTTTATGTACTCCAGTAGAAATATATATATATATATATATATATATATATATATATATATATATATAAAATTTTTTTTTCTTTGACATGGAGTGTCGCTGTGTCGCCCAGGCTGGAGTACAGTGGTGTGATCTCGGCTCACTGCAACCTCTGCCTCCCGGGTTCAAGTGATCCTCCTGCCTCAGCCTTCAGAGTAGCTGGGATTACAGGCGCCTGCCACCACACTCAGCTAATTTTTGTATTTTTCGTAGAGATGGGGTTTCGCCATGTTGCCCAGGCTGGTCTTGAACTCCTGACCTCAAGCGATCCACCCGCCTTGGCTTCCCAAAGTGCTGGGATTACAGGCGTGAGTCACCGTGCCTGGCCAGAATAATAAAATTTTTATTGAATTTATTCTCAGTTCTTTTTTCTTTTTTTTGCTGTTATTACACATAGGATATTTTTACCATTATATTTTCTGCCTGGTTGTTTGCGTACGGAAATAGAATTAATTTTTGTATATTGATTTTGCATCCAGCCAACTCATCCTATTCTCTTATTGTTCCTAACAATTTTAATGGGCTCTGTCTTTCAAAGTATAGAATCATATCACCTACATATGAAAAATTTGCCTTCGTTTTTCCAGCGAATGGGGTCTTCTTTCCTCAACATCTCTGATGCTAGCATGTAGGATATCTATAGTCTTCTTTCCTTTTCTTTATTTTTTTCTGTATACTCCCAGACAACACGTTCCACACACAAATATATTTTTCTTCCAGAGACCTGACTGAATTCTCTAGTTTTTAATGTTTCTTGATTTTCAAGTATAAATCATTTCACCTGAAATAATAATATTTTGTTTTCCTCCTGCCCCCCAGTTTTAACCGCCTTGCCCCCTTTGAAGTCTTATATCTTGCCTGGGCGCTCCAAAACATTACATAAAAACGGTGAGAGCAGGGGCATTCGCATCCAGCTCGACTTTCATAGGAATGCGTCTGGCGTTTCAAACACTGTGAGGTTCACTATGGTTTTCTGAGTTGTCATTAAATTCAGGTTTGTTTAATTCCTGTTGACTAAAAATTTCATTTTCTTTTTTTTTTTTAATTACCAATCAATGTTACATTTTATCAGCGCCTTTGGTCATCTAACGGTCTGATAGGCCATTGCCATTGCACAGTGTTCTTCTAACGGAATTTAGAATCCTAGCTTCCGATGCTTTCTCAGAAGAAGAGCACGGGCGGTAGGAAAGAAGGACGCTTTCAGGAAGGATGGAGGGCCCAGGACGATTTCGCTCCCCGGTGGACGTGGAGGGCGGGCAGGGTCATCCTTTCTCCTGAAACTGGGGAGCCCTACGAAGGGGTTCCGGAGAAGACGCACGGATCTCGAATACCTCCCCGCCCGGCTGCCACTGGATGGCGCGCGCAACCTGCGGAACCACAGGGCGACATCCAGCTGCGGGCGGCGAAGGGAATTGGAGCGTGGACCTCTCCAGGCTTTTCATTCGCTGGTTCTGCCGGTGTCCCGCCTTTTCCATCTCCTCATTGGCTGTCGCCTCCGGGCCTGCGACTTTGCTCAGCCCCTCCGGGGAGTGGAATCGGGTGTGCAACAGGCCGTGAGGTCCGGCTTTGCGAGGAACTCCCATTGGTCAGTCAAACAGGAGTCCCACCCTCCTGGGCTTCCCATTGGTTGCTGTCCCACCGCTGCTCTCAGTTTCCCAGCGGCTGGGGATCTGGGTTTTCTGGGGGTGGAGGGGTGCAGTACGCTGCTGGAAGCTCGTTTCTCTTTCCACCGTTGTGTGCCTCGGGCTCGCGGTCAACGGGGCTGGACGAGGTTCAGAACCCTCCAGAGCGGCAGCTGTCCCCGGGGTGGGTTGTGGGACTCAACAGCCCTCAGGGGAAAATGGCGGGAGGCAGGTGGAGGTGTCTTCTTTGCACTGAAGACCTGGATACCCTGCTGCGGGCTGAACGGGAGGCTGGGGTGGAGCCCTGGCTCGGGTTATGGCCGGGGAGGAGACCACGCTGGGCGAGTGGGAGGCAGCCCCAGCCAGGGGCTGGAAGACCAAGTACCGGACCTTCAAGGGCCTTCTTGCACCCGCATCCCACAGTAAACAGGATACGTAGGTGACCGTCTAGAAAACTTGAGTTTCTCTTGACAAGTTGATGTGCCAGTTTTCGTATGCATTCAAATAAATATTTAGTAATTTCAACTTTGCGCTTTTAGCATTTTGGAGCTAGTAATAAATATTTTTTTTCTTTCAGGATTCAAGCATTTTATGAATCCTTGGAAAGTTTATAGGCCTGAGGCACAGGTGCCTGTAGTGGCTGGTGCATAAAACTGATTCTGTCTCCCAACCATCTCAAGGCACACACGCACTCCAGGTTGTCATGAAATCGCTGGGTTCTGACTCATGCAAAACAGACCAGTGGCTACTTATACACCAGGAGAGGCTGCCCAGCCTCGCTGCAGAGGCCCAGACCTGGGTCCTGTTGAATACACATACGCAGATAAAAGGCTGAGGTGACACACATCAGAATGGGAACAGGGAGGGCTCTAGATAATAAAAGTGAATGTAGAGTTTGTTTTAGAAGCCAGCCCAGGACTGGGACTGGGTACTGAGGCAGTGGTCTAGTCACAAGGGCTTGCGCCAGGAGGCAGAGGGCAGGGAGAGTTGGCAATGCCACATTGGCAAACTGGCAAAAGCGGCTCCAGCAGTGTCTCTTGCTCCATGTTTGGGTCACCATTCTGTTGCTCTGAACTGTGAACCACAAAGTTAACACAGAGCCTTATTGCTACGTCCAGGTAATTTGATATCGTATATTCTATGATCTCACATGGAGACATAAATAGGCTTATGCTGCTGGGCCAGAAAATCTGTGGAGGAAACGATGAACATCTGAAAGGATACACATCCAAACTATTAACAGTGGTTACTCATGTGATATCAAAGTGGACATGAGAAGTGGAAGGGCGCAGACTTATTTATTTATTTAGACGGAGTCTTGCTCTGTGGCCCAGGCTGGAGTGCCGTGGTGCGATCTCAGCTCACTGCAATCTCTGCCTCCCGGGTTCAAGCGATTTACCTGCCTCAGCCTCCCGCGTAGCTGGGATTACAGGCGCCCCCCCCCCCCACCACTCCCGACTAATTTTTGTATTTTTAGCAGAGTCTGGGTTTCACCATGTTGGCCAGGCTGGTCTCGAACTCCTGACCTCAGGTGATCTGCCCGCCTCGGCCTCCCAAAGTGCTGGGAACAGGCGTGAGCCACTGCTCCTGGCCTTATTTTTTTTAAAATTTTACTGTTGACAATATGCTTTTTAAAAACTAATACATATACATGAAAAAATAAGCCATGTAAATGGATAATTAGTGATAAGTCAGTCTCCTACTCTAGCGGGCGAGAGTCAGTTCCAGTCCCCTGTTCCCATTTCCAGGGGGAGCTTCTAAGTGTCTTGAGCATCCTTCACAACATGGTCTATGCAAATAGGCACTTTTGGATACACTTCTTACTTTTAACTTTCTGCATATTTGCATTGTTTGTTTTTGCAGGCAAGCCGATTAGAAAGCCAATTAAAAAACGTGTCAATGAATACTCAATAATAATATGGGTTAAGTAGGATGGGGTTTCGATTTTTTTTTCACACTGAAATGGCATCTTAGGTACCACTGCTGCGGGTCCTCAAAATATGCACTTCTCGTCATTTTCTTAAGAGCTGAGATCTGGATTCTGTGTGTGTGTGTGTGTATGTGTGTGTGTGTGTGAGAGAGAGAGAGAGATTGTTAGGCTAAGAAGATGTTTTTGGCTCATAGCTAAGTGGGTTGCTTGCCTGGTGGTGGAGGAATTGCAGGCCAGGCAGTGTGTCCTATGGCCTTGGAATGGACGAGAAAGGCCTGGGCTCCACTGAAAATGACAAGTTGTTTCACTCCACGGTCTCTGCTGCACCAGAGGGTGCGTGTGCCTTCATTCTTCAGCTGCTGTTAAAGCAAAGCTAGGCTGTGCTTCCGTGGCAGCCCTTTCCTTGTATTGCATTTCACCTTGCATGTTTGTGTGAGTGTAGAGACTATAATTTGATATGGCTTCTGAAGGCTTACAGTCAGGAAGTGGCAGCCACATCTTGTGTCAGTTGACTGTGGCCTCGGTCCTCTTACTCATCCATCATTCATTCAACAAGTATTTATCAAGCATTTACTATGTATGAAACAATTGACCCAGATACTGGGAAAACTGGTGAACAAAACCAGAATGTCTAATCAGGTGCATGCTGGCTGGGAAGGGCGAGGGTAGATGCTGAGAGGTTCTGCTTTTGAATGTTTGATACTGTGATTTCCCTTCCAAAAATACACAGTGTCGGCTTCCCTCTTGCAAGTTTTACCTCCTAAATTCCTCTCTGATCCTTCCTCTCCTTTATGCTTCTGTTACTGCCTCTTCAGGTGCTTCCCCTCACTTTGGCCAATTTAGCAGTCTCCTAACTGATCTCCCTGACTTCACCCTTCAGCCCTGTTTCACATGCATTGTTGACAATGCCACTTAACACAAAGCTGGGTGTGTCATTTCCATGCCTGAGACTTTTCATGGACTCTCTATTGTCTATTGCATACAATCCAAGCTCCTTAACTAGCCATAGGGGCCCTCAATGACATTGCTCACACGTGTCTGTGGACACATGGAGATGATCTTCAAGAACAGTTCTCCCTTCAAAGACAGACTTGCTGCCCAGCTGTGAGGAGTGTGGTCGGCAGACAGCCTTCAGCTGTCACCTCCTTTAGGGTTTACCGTAGCTGCAGAGAGCCTCCTTCCCCAAGGCAGTCCCTTTTCCTGGATAGCCCACACCTGGTGATTGAGGCAGGGGTATAAAGACTGTCCATTTTAACCTGATATGGGACAGCTCCGATGGCCAACAGTCATTCCAAATCTCCCTGCTGGGTTGGTGCTACGGTGTGAAAGTGTCCTTTCCAAAAGTCATGCGTTGAAACTTTATAGCCAGTGCGATAGTATTATGAGGTGGGGCCTTTAAGAGGTGATTAGGCCACGAGGCTCCTCCCACGTGAATGGGATAAGACCCTTTATAAAAGAGGCTTCATGCAGTGTGTGGCTTTCTTGCTCTTTCACCTTTCCCCATGTGAAGGTGCGGTGTTCTTGTCCCCCAAGGGGATGCAGAGACCAGGTCCTCACTAGCTGGCAGCTTGGTTTGGATTTCCCAGCCTCCAGAACTGTGAGAAATTATTTTCTGTTTTTTATAAATTGCACAGTTTCAGGTATTTTGTTATAGAAGCAGAAAATGTGCTGAGATAATCGGCTTTCTGGGAGGTCAGCCTGCAATTTGACTTCCTCCTCTGCCCAATCAATCTCCTTCCCTTGTTCCTTCACAGGTGTTGTTCCCTAGTAAACACTTTTCACTCCAAACTCTTTCTCATACTTGCTTCTGGAGCCCCTGGCCTGTGACACTGCCTGGATAGCGTCACTGCCGCCGCTCTTATTTATAACAGACTCCCCATCACTCCCCGCACACACCCTGTTTCAAATCCCTGTGCTTTCATGTGTGCTATTCCCTTTGCCTCAACTTTTCTTCTCAATTTTTTTTCTTTGGTCAACAAAATTTCTGTTTTTCCTGTCCCTTCAAACCCAGCTCAGGGAATATCTCCTACCTGGCTCCTTGTTGCTGGGCTTGGCTTGCTTCTTTGTTCTCTCCCTCCTCCCTTTGCTTAGAGAGTACTGCTGTAGTTGGTGGGTACAGTATTGTATACAGAAGTGTATTTGGTACCCAGAAGTGTATTTGGTACCCAGAAGTGATGGATTCCAGAGCAGAAAGGGACCCAGGACTACCTGACATGGTAGTTGTGATTCTGGAGCAGGAGCTGTGATGAACACGGGAGAGCAGATATGCCTTCAACATACTGACTTCATTTCCTTTGGGTACATATCTAGAATTGGGATTACTGAAACATGGTAGCTTCATTTTAAAAAAGTAATTTTTTTAGAGGCAAGGTCTCACTCTTCCGCCCAGGCTGGAGTGCAGTCGCACAGTCATAGCTCACTGCAGCCTTGCCCTCCTGGGCTCAAGAGATCCTCTTGCCTTAACCTCCCCAGGAGCTAGGACTACAGGTTTGTGCCACCATGCCCAGCTAGCTTTTTAAATTTTGTGTTTGTAGAGATGGGGTATCACCATGTTGCCCAGGCTGGTGTCAAACTCCTGGCTGTAAGTGATCCTCGTGCCTCATCCTCCTAAAGTGTTGGGATTACAGGCACGAGCAACTGTGCCCAGCAGTGGTTCGATTTTTAGTTTTTAAAGAACCTCCATACCATCATCCATAATTGTTATACTAATTTACATTCCCACCAACAATGCTTAAAAGTTACCTTTTCTCCACATCCTCCGATACTCGTCATTCATCTTTATGGTGAAGGCTGTTCTAACAAGCATGAAATGATACCTCATGGTGATTTTGATGTACATTTTTCTAATGATTAGTGATGTGAGCATATTTTCATGTACCTATTGGCCATTTGTATGTCATCTAAAGAAACATCAGTTCATATATCTATAAAGAACATCATTGCTATTTTGATATGGATTTTTTTGCCTTTGTAGATTGCTTTGAGTAACATGGACATTTTAGTAATGGTAATTCTTTCAATCCATGAACAGGGAATATTTTCTCATTTACTATTCTCTTTTCAATTTTTTCTTCAATGTTTTATAGTTTTTATTTTAGAGATCTTTCATCTCTTTGGTTAAATGTACTCCAAGGGATCTTTGGTTTTGGTAGCTATTGTAAATGGTATGGTTTCTCCATTTTTTTTTCAGATAGTTCACTATTCATGTATAGATGTTTCTGTTTTTATGCCAGTACCATAGTATTTTGATTAAAATTGTTTTATAATATGTTAATATGTTTTGAAATCAGAGAGTGTGATGCCTTCAGCTTTGTTCTTTTGGCTGAAGTTTATTTTTGGCTATTGGGGTCTTTTGTGGTTTTATATGGAATGGTTTGTTTTTGTTTATTAAAAATTTTATTTTAAAAAATTTTCAATATTGAGGGTACATATGCAGGTTTGTTGCATGTGTATATTGCACCCAGCCAGAGAGCATAGTACCAAATAGGTAGTTTTTCAACCCATGCCTCCCTCCCCTCCTCCCTCACCATTAGTCTGCAGTTTCTGTTGTTCTCCTGTTTGTGTCCATGTGTCTTCAATGTTTAGCTCCCACTTATAAGTGAAAACATGTGGTATTTGGTTTTCTGTTCCTGAGTTAGTTTGCTTAGGATTTTGGCCTTCAGCTCCATCCATGTTGTTGGAAAGGATGTGACTTCCTTCTTTTTTATGACTGCATAATATTCCATGGTATATATAAGCATTTTCTTTATCCAGTCAACGACTGATGGGCACCAAAGTTGAATCCGTGTCTTTGCTGTTGTGAATCTCATTGTGATGGACATATGCATATATATGTCCTTATGGTAGAATGATTTATATACCCGGTAATGGAAATGCTGAGTCAAATGGTAGTTCTGTTGTAAGTTCTTTGAGAAATCTCCAAACTGCTCTTCACAGTTGCTGAACTAATTTACATTCCCACCATCAGCATATAAGCGTTCCCTCCCTTTTCTCCACAGCCTTGCCAGCATCTGCTTTTTTTGGACTTTTTATTAATAGCCATTCTGACTGGTGTGAGATGGTGTCTCACTGTGGTTTTGATTTGCATTTCTCTGATGATTAGTGATGAGCATTTTTTTTCATATGTTTGTTGTCCAATCCTGTCCCTTCCCTTGAGAAGTGTCTTTTCCTTTGCCCATTTTTTAAATGTGGTTATTTTTTGCTTGTTTATTTAAGTTCCTTACAAATACTGGATATTAGACCTTTGTCAGATGCACAGTTTGCAAATATTTTCTCCCGTTCTGCAGGTTGTCTGTTTACTCTTTTGATAGTTTCTTTTGCTGTGTAGATGATCTTTAGGTAATTAGGTCCCACTTTTCAATAGTTTGACCTATTCTTTTCTTATTTGGAGGCCTTTTATTTCTCTTGCCTGATCGCTGTGGCTAGGCCTTCCAGTACTATGTTGAATAGGGTGGTGACAGTGGGCATCCTTGTTTTGTTCCAGGTCTCAAGGGGAATGGCTCCAGCTTTTGTCCATTCAGTATGATGTTGGCTGTGGGTTTGTCATAGATGGCTCTTATTATTTTGAGGTATGTTCCTTGGATGCCTACTCTGTTGAGGAGTTTTATCATGAAGGGATGCTGGATTTTACCAAAACCTGTTTCTGTTTCTATTGAGATGATCATATGGTTTTTGCTTTTAATTCTGTTTATGTGATAAATCACATTGATTGATTTGTGTATGTTGAACCAGCCTTGCATCCCAGGAAGTAAAGTTGGGCAAGTCCAGATGGTCATTTTACAGGTAATTGCTGACATGCAGTTGCCTCTCAACCTGGGGAAGACTAATGAAAGCAACTGGGTTGTGTGGGAAAGGTGGCTCAGGATTTGAGCCTGAAAGGCCTATGGACAATGTTTCCTACAGCACGATGTTGTCGACTAGTTTCTTCTGGTGTGGCACCTCTATTGGCCAGAATACAGAGCAATTCCCAAGATCTGTGTGCTGGCTACTTTAAGTCCTACCTTCATTCTTTGTTTCTAACTGACCCCAGGTGGTCTCACTCTGCCTGCGCTCTCTCTGTGTCCCCTGGGATGAGACAAGCATGAGCTTGCCTCCTCCTGCAAAGGATCCCAGAATGAAGGGGAAACTGAGTATCCGCTTCCAATTCACTTTTCTTATTGTAGAAACTGTGGGTCTAGAACATTCTCTGTGTGGTGTGGTGCTGACTTTGGGGCGGGTGAAATGGTCAGGGAACAATTTCTGTTACTCTTTGATGATGGCTCTTCTCAGTTGTGTGGCCCAGGGTGGTGTCTCAGCCTCAGTCCCAATTCCTGGAATGTTCAAGATGTTTTTCTAAAAATTTGAAGTTCCAGGATACATGTGCAGGATGTGCAGATTTGTTATGTAGGTAAACATGTGCCATGGTGTTTTGCTGCACCTGTCAACCCATCACTGAGGTACTAAGCCCTGCATGCATTAGCTCTTTATCCCGATTCTCTCCCTCCACCGCCCCCACTCCCCCAACAGGACCCAGTGTGTGTCATTCCTCTCCCGGTGTCCTTGTGTTAGGATGGTATTCTTGATTGTGGGTGCTTCTAGTTGGATTTCTGTGTGGGGGAGTGAAAGTGGAGAACTCCTATTCTGCCATCTTGCTTATGTCGTTCTCTTCTTGACCAATTTTTAATAAAAAATATATGATTCAGATTTTCTATGTGTTTAGAGGGGAAAGAAGTATTGTTATGGACTGAATGTTTGTGTCCCTGCCAAATCCGTATGTCGAAGCTCTACTGCCCCATGTGATAGTACCTTTGGGAGGTAACTGGGTTTAGAGGAGCTCATGATGGTGAGCCCCATAATGGGATTAGTGCTCTTATAAGAAGAGGAGGAGACCAGTGCTTTTCCTTTCTCTCGTTGCATACACAAAGAAGAGGTCATGTGAGCACACAGCAAGATGGTGGCTGCCTACAAGCTAGGAAGAAGTCTTACCAGAACACAACCATGCTGGCATCCTGATAGTGACTCCTAGCTTCCACAAGTATGAGAAAATCAATCTGTTGTTTAAGCCACCCAGTGTATGGTATTTGTTATAACATCCCTAATTGACTAAGACAAATGTGTTTTCCACATCTAATCATTCATCCAGTTTCAAACCCAATGGCAAACCAAAGCTTCAGATCCTTTAAAAACTAAAAAAGTAACTATGAATAATTTCTTTTTTTCTTTTTCTTTTTTTTTTGCTTGGTAAATCAACTATTTTTATTTTATTATTTTATTTTCCATAAGTCGTTGGGGTACAGGTGTATTTGGTTACATGAGTAAGTTCTTTAGTGGAGATTTATGAGATCCTTGTGCACCCATCATCCAAGCAGTATACACTGCATCATATTTGTTGTCTTTTATTCCTCGCCCCCCTCCCAGTCTTCTCCCCAAGTCTCCAAAATCCATTATATCATTTTTATGGCTTTGTGTCCTCATAGCTTAGCTCCCACATATCATTGAGAACACATGATCTTTGGTTTTCCATTCTTGAGTTACTTCACTTAGAATAATAGTCTCCAGTCTCATCCAGGTCATTGCAAATGCTATTAATTCATTCCTTTTTATGGCTGAGTAGTATTCCATTGTATATATGCCATAGTTTCTTTACCCATTCGTTGATCAATGGGCATTTGGGTTGGTTCCACGATTTTGCATTTGTGAATTGTGTTGCTATAAACATGAGTGTGCAAGTACATTTTTCAAATAATGACTTCTTTTCCTCTGGATAGATACCCAGTAGTGGATTGCTGGATCAAATGGTAGTTCTATTTTTAGTTCTTTAAGGAAACTCCACACTGTTTTCCATGGTGGCTGTACTAGCTTACAATCCCACCAGCAGTGTAGAAGTGTTCCCTGTTCACTGCATCCATGCCAACATCTCCTGTTTTTCTATTTTTTGATTATGGACATTCTTGCAGGAGTATGATAATTTTTTGATTATGGCTGCTTTTTGCAGGAGTACAGTGGTATCACATTGTGGTTTTGATTTGCATCTCCCTGATCATTAGTGAAGTTGAGCATTTTTTCAAATGTTTGCTGACAATTAGTTTATCTTCTTCTGAGAATTGTCTATTCATGTCCTTAGCCCACTTTTTGATGGGATTGTTTGTTTTATTCTTATTGATTTGTTTGAGTTTGTTGTAAATTCTGGATATTAGTCCTTTGTCAGATGTATACATTATGAAGAGTAAATCAACTATTGACCCTGATTTAGGCAGTGTGGTTTATATTCTGAAAATGACTCACAGATTTTGAAAAAATTACATAAAAATCTTATAATTTTCTTTCCATCACACTTTCTCAGCATTTTTGCCATAACATTTTCTTAAACTAAATGAATTTGAATAACTGCCCTGTGATTTACTTAGGAAAATTGCTTATGTATCTGTTTCCTCATTTGTAAAATAAAAATAACAAAACCTTGTTCATAAGATTGTTTAAAGGACTCAATGAGAAACATTTGAAAGTCCTGTAATCTGGCAGATGTCAGAAATATGATTTCCTTCCTTTCTTGACACCAGTGAGCATAATAGAAAAGTAATAGAAATAATGCTTCAGCTAATTTTGGTTAGAAATAACCATGACTTTTGTCTCTACAGATCCATGAATAGATGAGTTTTAAAGTCTGATTCATTCTTTAAAGTCTTTATTAATTCAATGGCGTAATAAAAACCTCACAGATATAAGCTATCTTTTTATATCTCATATTTTGACACCGTATCAAACCCTTTTCCAGGTACCATTTAACTCACTCAATTGAGAAAGATTGCATGCCTAGATGGCTGAAGACTTTTATTCCTTTCACATACAGTTAAAATTGGGAGTAAGTGCTTCGCAATAGTGTAGATGATGTAGTGTAAGGTAGAATAGCACTTAACCATGGCATAAATTCAATTATACTTGTGTCTTATAAGGTATAATTAGGCAAAAATTAGATTCTAATTTTAGTTTATATAATTACTGTGGTAAAAGATGTATTATAATTTTTAAGTACTGAGTTTTTTTTCTGGGTTTTTGCATTCTGATTCTCTGTTACAGTTTTTTCTTCCCATAGTGGTCTTCTGTCCTATCCTCCCTTTATAAATTTGCAATATACATTTTTAAATATAATTTCTGCATAGTTCCATTTTCTATGAAAGAGCAAACAGTTCAGCTAGGAAATGGGAACAATATCAGCCTTTAGATAGTGTGGGCGAAACAGAGTCACTTCCCTTTCAGCTCAGCTTTGATTTCAAGTTACTTAAACTCTACCTGAAAATGATTTTATGTCATATACTTGTACAATGTAAACATCATCCAAATTAAAAACGTTAAAGCCTCAATGTCTTCCCTAAGTATTTATGAAAATAAAACAAGAGACTATTTCTGATTCTATTATCAATATTGAGAAGGAATGGTCAGTAAGTATATGACATTTTATAGTCTTTGATCACGAAAAGAGGAAGGTAATTTGAAAGTGTGTTCTATTTGTAACCTTATCTGCTGGAATTTATGTGTTATCTGTTGGCATTGCCAGCACATATAAGGCTATATGTTTTAAATAACTAATTTGTTAAAGAACCATTAAAAATATGAGTTTGAAAATAACAAAGGAATTTAATACTACTTAATAAATATTTTAGGGTTAAAAATAAGTGTTACATTTTCTTTAGCGGCATATTTCAAGCATATAATAAAATAAAATAATTTTAGACACATATATACCATCCACAAAATTAAAAATATTAATTTGTTACCTGATCATGTCACTTCTTTCTGTAAAAAAGATTTAAAATATTATAGTTAACACTAAAGCATTATCCCTATTCCTTTCCCTCATTTTGTTCTCCTTTTCAAAGGAATTGATTTCCGAATTTGAGAACAATTTTCAAGTATGTTTGTACTTTAGGAGAACAGTTCTCAAACTTTTGGTTTCAGGATGCATTTACCTGCTTAAAATTTTTGGGACCAAAAGAGCCATGAGCTGTGTTTATATGGGTTTTATCTACTGATATTCTCATATTAGAAAGACATTTAAAATATTTATTTACTAATTCCCTCATAAAACAATAATATTACCATGACATGTTTTTATAGTAGGATTTTAAATAGAAATAACTATATTTTTTAAAAAAATTTATTGAAGAATAGCATGGTTTTACTTTTTTTCCAATCTTTTTAATGTCTGGCTTAACACAAGGGAGCTAGATTCCTGTATCAGCTTCTGCATTTATTTGTAGTGATATGTTATTTTGGTTGACATGTATGAAGAAAATCCAGCCTTATACAGATGTGTAATTGCAAAAGGGAGGATTATGTTAATAACCTTTTCAATTAATATTATTTGATACTACATCAAAACGTGATAAGTGGTAGTTTCTTAAAGGTTAGTAGCAATGCAGAATCTGATAACACATGAATAGACATTTTATCCCCTATGTCATTAAAATCCATTGGCTTCTTTTGCATTTTAAGTTAATCTTTTATTTATGTGTAACTTTTTCACATAATGCATTGGTCATTTGAAAAATACTGGCTCACTGAGTTATACAGATCTTCCAGTGTTGACACATTTCATATATATATGAAATATATATCCATCACCATGATGGACGAATTTTCCAAAGGGGTGATATTGCTTGATAGACCAAATATTTATTACTGGCAACAAATACTGTCAGTTTTTCTTACAGCGACAGGCTCACTTCATTTATTTTGTGGCAACGCCTGCCAAATACCAATTCTGAATAACTATAGTTTATCAGTAATTCTAACAAATAAAAATAATGTTCCATGAAATGGCTGGTTGAGCCCAAATTCAATCATTCAAGTACTTCCTCACAAGACAATCATTGTACTCTGAGATGCAGAAGTGCTCTCTGGTACTAGCCATTATATTATACAAAATATTAAAAAGACATACATGAAAAGATGTGATTTAATAAAAATTTATTGCTTTATCAAGGACAACATTTGTTTAGAATTTTGTCTTTCTCTGCATCTATTGACATGTTGATTTTTTCTTTTTATTTGTCAATATAATAAACACTTATGGATTAAAAAGTATCAAATTATCTTTATATACCTTTGAAATATCCTAATGGGTACTTATGCAGTATTATTATTTTTAAATTCTCTGTTGGATTCAATTTACTAGTATTTTCTTTGGGATACCTGTATTTATATTTTTAAGTGAAATTAGCTCTTGCACTTTTTCTTGTCCTCTTTTTCTGCTTTGATATCAGGTGATAATTATGACATAAAACTATTTGGGAAGTTTTATTTCTTTTTCTATTCTCTGCAAATTTTTTTTTAAAAAAACTGGATGATTCGTAACTTCCTAAAAGTTGCTTATCAATGGATTTATATTTGTGATGTGTACATATTCATATATATATGAATATTTAAAATGATTGCTTAAATTCTAGTTATAGGACTATTTAATTTTTCCATTTCTTCTTGAGTCAGCTTTGAAAAGTCACATTTTTTTCAAGGATTTATTTATTTTGTCAAAATGTTCAAAATTATTGGCATGTAGATGTTGATGATATTCCCTCTTCATCACCCTAATCTTGATGTTATCTTTAGTTTTTACCACCATTCTTCCCACTGTAGTCTTTACTCATGTCTTTTCTTTCTTTGCTCAATGTTCCAGGGGTTTGTTCATTTTATTTTAAAAGAACCTATCTTTGGCTTTTAAAATCCTCTTCATTGTATTTTTGTTTTATATTTTATTGAGTTCGATTCCCAATTTATTTATTAAAATATCTCCTTTCCTCTATGTTCTCTGGGATCACTAAATTGTTCATTTGTTCCAGAATCCTCCCCTTCTACTGGCCATACTACCACTGCTATTTATGAATATGCATTTATGTTTGAGAGTTTTGTTTTCAGGGATGGATGGAATTCTTGCATAAAGAGAAGGAAGGTGAGGAACTACAGAAATAAAAGATAGGATGGTCTTTCCAAGGGCAAGGTCTGACTTCCTACAGAGAAAAGGAATGCAGGGAAAAGGCAAGAGAGTGTTGCTTTGAGGCCCCAAAGATAAAATCAACCCAGAGCACAAGAGGAATCTTGTTGGCATTTCTGCATGAACCATATGAGCTGTGTCCAGAGTGACTATATGTCAACATTGAAGTGGTGCGTGTTGTACCTGTTAGAACATCAAGAAAGGGGAAGCCTCACCCAGGGCATCTGTGGTAGGGGTAGTGCAAAGTGTCTTCTCTAAAGAGCTTGAAGATAGCAGGCTCCTTAGAGAAGCCAAACCTCTGGGTCATAAGTGAATGGGTGCTAGAAAACATGAGAGCCCTCCCTAAGCTATGACTGTGTATATATAGATAAGCCTAGGACTGTGGGCCTATGATCAAGCAGGTTTAAATATTTGACCCTGTAAAATCCTGGTAGTAGTGTTAGCATGACATTATTTATTGCCAAGGCTGGTGAGGTCTGGGAGGCACTGGGATACACATTGTGTCTTTTCTTCACCACAGGTAGATATGCTCATCCTGAGCTGGAGCTGTACTCTGACTGTTGCATATCCCAAAGCATAATGCCTTATGTGTGGAGAAGGATATTTCCGGTCTCCACTTCAATCCCCTTTCCAAAATTACCTTCATTTAGGCCTCTGAAAGGGTCTCCATAGGACTCTTCCCGGAGCCCCATGCATGTCTTTGTTCCTCAGCCTGTAGATGAAAGGGTTCATCATAGGTGTCAGCACAGCATACATCACTGTGGCTACTGAGTCCTTCATGGAGTAGGTATGGAGGGGCTGCAGGTACACCATAGCAAGCGTCCCATAAAAGAGGGAGACCACACCCAAATGGGAGGCACAGGTAGAGAAGGTTTTGTATTTCTTAGAGGCCGAGGGCATTTGAAGGATGGTTCTGACAATACGTACATAGGATGTGGTCATGAACCCTAAGGGGGTGAGGAAGATGAAGCAGCCAGTGGCAATCAACGCTGTGTGAATGATGTGGGTGTTGGAACATGCCAGCCACAGCAGGATGTACATGTCACAGAAGAGGTAGTGGATCTCTCGAGGCCCACAGAAGGTCACCCTGGTCAGGAGGAAGGTGAGGAGGAGGCCATAGAGAACAGACAGCCCCCAACACAAGGAGAGGAGCAAGACACAGAGCCCAGGGCTCATGGCTGTGACATAGTGGAGGGGGCAGCAGGTGGCCACATAGCGATCATACGCCATCACGGCCAGGATGAGGTTGTCCAGGGTCACCAAGGAGACCAGGAAGTAGAGCTGTGTCAGACACCCTGCATAGGAGATGGCTTTGTTCTGGGACTGGAAGTTCACCAGCATCTTGGGGATTGTGTTGGTGACAAAGAAGAGGTCAGTGAAGGAGAGGTTGGCCAGGAAGAAGTACATGGGGGTGTGCAGGTGGGAATCAGAGCTGATGGCCAGGATGATGAGCACATTTCCCAGCACCGTGACCAGGTACATGGACAGGAACATCCAAAACAGGATCCGCTGCTGCTCAGGACTCTCTGAGATCCCCAGGAGAAGGAACTGTGAGTTCTCACTCTGGTTATCTCCATCCATTCCCCCAACTTTCTGTAACATTAACACCAACAAATGTTTATTAAGTGCCCTCATTTGAATAAGGACACGAAGATAAGCAAAATCAACTCTTTTCTTAGAATTAAAATATCTTGGACTAAACTTTAAAAATAACAAAAGCAACAGGTCATTATAGGCACAAAAATAGAATATGGAAAGTATGCAACTTATTTATTCCAGCAACTTCTCACCTGACATAATGAATATTATAAAAACAATGTCTAAGCCTTATTTTTAATCCTGCCATCTTCCAATAGTCTTGAAGTGTTTAAAGTTTAGTGTGTTATGTTATGATTTTATACAGGGTTTTAAGTGGTATTTAATACAGGTATATGCATTACAAGAAAAGATTATTGTCCAATTGGAGGAAGTGGAGAAATAAAATATTGGAAAGGAGAAAGAAGAATTATTATTACTTGTTGATATAATGATCTCTCTGGGAAATCTAAGAAAATGAATGGAAACATCATTAGAAAAAAAAGATGTCTGTGATTAGTCAGTGAAGTGACCCATGACAAAATGAACAGGCTCTCAGCTTTCATGGTCCCCGTAAGCCACGTAGTGCAGTGCTAAAGACCGTTCTGTGGGAACTCTTTTTTTTTTTTTTTTTTAATTTTAATTTTAGATTCGGGGGTGCATGTGCAGATTTGTTACAAGGATATATTGAGAGATGCTGATGTTTGGGCATCTATTGATCCCGAACTCTTAAATTCAAGTCAAAGCACTGCCTCTTCTTGGCTGTAATGCCTCAGGCAGGTCACTTGTGTTCTTTAAGACTCAGGTTTTTTAAATGTGAAAAATGGGTTGGGGTGAGGAGAAAATTAAGGAATAAAGTACTTAACACAAAGAGCTGACATGTGGAGAGCACTCAATAAATAGTACCTGTTATTATATATGAATGATAAGAATACTAAGATTAAAATATGAAACACATTATCAGCAAACAATCTATGCATTAAGGTATTAATAAGAATCTCTATTGAGGCATAAAGTAAAAATTTATTAAATGGACAGATATAACCAAGATTCTAGATAAAAAAGATGAGATGTTGCAAAGGTGCATATTCTGAGTTGTTCTAAAATTTAACCTATTTGAAAGTCAAAATTGTAACAGGGTTTTAAAGAAACAAGAGCTAGTTTAAATTTCCTATAAAATAGGAATGAAAATAAGCTAGGAAAATGTTGAAGACAAGGAGACACTTGCTCTATTAAGAACTTTAAAATAGTGGGGGTACTGGTGCTAGAATGAACAGATCAGTAGAACTGTCTAGAAACTTAAGAAACAGCCAAGTTCATGTGGAATGTGACACTTTAATTCACCAGGGAAAGGTTGCATTATGCAATAAATGACATTAGGACAACTGTCTACTTATTTTTTGGGAAAAGTTACATCAATGTTTTGTATTTTATCAAACATACTAAAACATACCAAACATACTAGTATATTTTATCAAAATATACTAAAGATTAAAAAATTATTTTTTCCTTTTGAAAAACTGAATGTATATGGAATAAAACATTAAAAATCTGAAAAGTTATAAAGGAGATAATAAAAATTGTATCAAATTCCAGCATGTAGAGTTAGATAACCATGGCTAATGTCTTTTTAGCCGAGACATGAAGGACCACAAAAAGCCAGTCTTGTAACACAATAGGCAAAGAGCTTTGCAGAAAAACAGCCACCCTGAGCAGAGCCCCTGAGCAGGGAAAGGTCATTCTTGTGTTTAAGGAAGTAAATATAGGCCAGCATGTCTGGGAGCAAAGAGGATATTGGTGAGACAGGATGTTGTGCAATGGCCAGTAATGAACTATAAAGCAGAAGTGGCTGTGCATATTTAGCAACTATTGTTTTTCTTCATAGTTTATCAACAGTATTTAAAAAATCAGGTATGGCTGTTGCATTTTTAATAAAACACTTTTTCAGTGTCACTCAAGATACATTATGTGAATAGCCTTCTTAATATGGAAGCATACTTGTATGCCCATTATGAACCACTGAATCAATTTGCTAATATTTTATTTAGACTTTTGTAGTCACAATTATTCGTGAAGTTTGTCTACGGTCTTTTTTGGCATCTGCCTTTTTAGTACAATTTGGCTTGCATCAGAGTCCATACTAAACTTGTATTCACTTATTGTCAAGTCTAACATTTAAAATTTCCTGCAATTTCTTTAATGGCTTACAAGAGAAATTTTAAAAATATTTTGTCGAATTCTTTTTGTATACATTTATTTATTTAGAGATTGGGTCTCACTCTGTTGCCCAGCCTGGAGTACAGCAGTGTCATCACAGCTCACTGTAGCCTTGAACTCCTGAGCTCAAGCCATCCTCCCACCTCAGCCTCCCGAGTAGCTAAGACCACAGGCGTGTGTCACCATGGCTGGCTGATTTAAATTTTTTCTGTAGAAACAGGGTCTCGCTATGTTGTCCAGGCTGGTCTCCAACTCCTGGCCTCCAGCAATCCTTCTGCCTTGTCTTCCCAAAGTGGTTTGATTATAGTCATGAGCCACTGAGCCTGGCCTTGGAATTCTTTTTCTAAATAAAAATAGCTTCAGCAGGGTGCAGTGACTCATGCCTGTAATCCCAGCACTTTGGGAGTCAGAGGTATGCATATCATTTGGGCCCAGGAGTTCCAGACCCAGCCTGGGCAACATGGCAAAACCCCATCTCTACTAAAAATACAAAATTAACTGGGTGTGGCTGCAGATGCCTGTAGTCCCAGCTACTTGGGAGGCTGAGGTGGTAGGATCACCTGAGCCTGGGAGGCCGAGGCTGCAGTGAGCCACGATTGTGCCACTGCCCTCCAGCCTGGGCAACAGAGCAAGACCCTGTCTCAAAAAAAATGGCTCTAAAAAACTATATTGTAATCTATTGATTATAGACAAAAAATTTCCAACGTGAACAATTAAAGCAATACCAAAAAATTTATACAATAAGTAAAAGTCGCCCCAAATTCTGTCAGAGCAGCCACTGTTTACACTTTGGTGAAGATACTTTCCGTTTGATTCATTCAGTCATCTTTATTCACTCAGCAATGTGATGGGGAACTTCCTCCAAGTCAATATTGTCATTAGCTATTTTTGTTGTTGTTGTTGTTCAGGGACCTTATTTTTCAGCCTGCATGATAGTTGTTTTTTTCCGAGATGGAGTCTCTTGCTGTCACCCAGGCCGGACTGCAGTGGCACAATCTCGGCTCATTGCAACCTCTGCCTCCCGGCTTTAAGTGATTCTCCAGCCTCAGC